>NC_000013.11:78105075-78256590 GCF_000001405.40 Homo sapiens
GTGTAAAAACAAAATATGTTGGGGTTTGGTTTCTTAATGCTAACATTAAATGCCAGAAAACAATGGAAAATTCTACCCCTTGGTCTCTGGCCATGAACCTCCCACAGAAAAATGATGATATTTGTTATAACATTTACATTTGGTGCAGCATTTATGGCATGTATATAGCAATAGCACCAACACAAATATGCCTAACATTTGGAGAAGCCAGTACGGGGATAGATTTAAAGAAACAACTGATTTGTCCTGTAAACCCATTATGCACTTTTTTATATCCTTGTGTTAATTTTATTATTCTTTCCCCCCTTGACCTACTGTTATTTGTGTCTTATGATAAGCTTGTGAAGAACTGTTTAACACAGAATTCAGAGGATGATTAGCCAGATCCAGTTCTTCCTCAGGCTAGTAGTTATTGTGCATAAAATAAAAATGGTAATACATAAGCTGTATGTCCTGAAGGAGCTTTAAGTCAATCTCCCAATACATTTTATAATCAATATTAGTATTGTCATAAGTCTTATTACTTAGTGTAATTGAATCTTACCAACAATGCCAGTATTACACAATATTATAGTATGAACATGGTATAATTCAGTTTCATTACAGAATACACAACAAAGTAGTAAGAATTACAGAGGTATTTGCTTTGCCTTCCCAACAGAATCTACAACTGAGGACAAAGCCAATCATCTCATCTCACCTTACAGGCTCAAATCTAGACTGGTTTCCATTGTGTGTTGTTATTATGTAACAGGGCTCTCTTCCCTCCAATGGGGAAGTCATGAGTAGTATTTAGCAAACTATTCTGGGGGCCAGAACTGTCACAAGACATCAGTGTAAATCAAAAGTGCCTCCAAAGAATTTTACATGTTTGGGGAGTCATAAGATTCCCATAGGTGTGCCCCTTGAGCTTCAGGAGCTAGAATAGAGGGCCACTGACTTATGCCCACTTCAGCTTCCATGTGTATTAAAATAATTGAGGCCCTATTGGGTCCAGGCACAAATCCTTTCCCAGTACTGGGTTTTAGCAGTACCCTACGTTATTTATTGAGTCTTCGTGACCCACTTTGCTAAAGCCTCATTATATTTCCAGGGCTAACTCCCATCATTTGCCCTCCTCGTGGAAGAGAACCCTCTCTATTCTAGTTTTCCTCTGACTGCCACTCCTCATTAAAAGCAAACACAGCTTGTCTCAGGATAACTAGACTGACACTTATCACACCAGTGCAGTTAGGATACATGTCTTACACCCCCAGATGTTGGGTCTTCTGTACTAGAGTTAGATGAGAGGTAGTCACTCCTTGATGTACTTTGGTTTGAGTGTGCCATGAGGCCTCCCACAGCGTTTCTTGTCTCTGGGTGGGACTGTTCCCTAAGGGATCCACCAGGTGATGCTCACTGCTTTAATCCCATCAGGGACCCATTGTATTTCTCTATTTTACTTGGTAGTTTTACATCTACAAAACAAGGATGATGTACATTTGTGCATAGCACACAGTGACATGTTGGGCTGGCTGCTGTTACGATTTGCCCATTTTAATCAGATACATTTCTAGGCATTTGGTTACACAGCGATCAGTCTGTTGGGAGCTACAACATCACAGAGTTTGAAGTCCCAGTAGGAAGAAGTTCTCAGAAATTCCCTCCCAAATAATGTCTACCTTTTGAGGTACAGGTAGCCTGAGAAGTAGGAGTCCAAGGCATTGGCATATTATTAAAGTTTCATTTAGTTATTAACAGCTTGTCCAGTTTCCCATCATATCGTATGACCAGAATGTCTCTTAGTGATGTCAGTCAGGTTTGTAGACTGCTGTTCAACCTTGCCAGTTTCCAAAAACTAGGCCTTGGCAAACATATAGCTTCATTTTCTTGGACATCTGGTATAATTGTGCTGAAATACAATATTATTCTCTTGCTCTGAGCTTCATAATGTTGGATTTCTCTGGTTGCATAACCCAATTATTTATTCTTTTACTCCAAACTACTATTTCTCCCTCTCCTCATGTGTTATTTATTTTTATCCACACTTTTTCTAATATCCTTGGGAGAGGACATTAGGTTTGGCCACTATGCTGGCCCAGATTGCTAGTAGCAGTACCAGTGTAGCAAGGGCTTCTCCATCAGTCTACCCCCAACCATATGGGGCAGGGTTACATAGGTATGGAATTAGTGAGATATACCTGACCACTTGGCATCACAGTAACATTCACTGTTAACCCCAACTTTGCCAGATGGGGTGAAGGCACAATCTACTCTATTAGGCCCTTAGGAATTTTGACACAATGGTCTAAAGGTATATTACAGCTTCTTGCTTAAAATGCAACCCTGCTTCTGGCACCCACAGTTGCATTCCTGTCCCTGGGATGACTGATACCAAATTTTGAAGAAGAAATGTGACTTAAAATAGTGTAAGTAGATAACTTGTCAACTGAAATATAAAGGCAATTGTCAGACAATTTCAACATACAAATAAAAGGAAGAAAAGAATATCTATAATTTTTCTCCAAAAATACTTGATGACAAAGAGCAGCCAACAGAAATATAAGTGGAAAAGATTCAAGGAAAGGAGCACACAGTACTAAGAGACAATGGAGAGCCATGTCTGCAAAATTCTCTGGGAAAGGAAGTTATACTAAAAAACAAATGGTTCTTTGATATATCGTCAAAGCTAGACATTTACAAGAAACATTACCTTGCTGCATGAGATGGGTGTGAGCCTTTCTAAAAAAAAAAAAAAAGGAAAAAAAGAACACAACTGATGATGGAATCAAGCCCACCAAGAAGTAAATATCTTTAAAAAATCAGGGATGGAGAGGCTGATGCTGATGTAAAAGGAGTGGTGGTGATAATTGAGAACATTTAAGTATAGAATAAAGATTAATGGTGGGAAATATATTAACGAGATAGAATGTAAGTGTTATGAACCTTGACACATTTTAAAGCAACAGTATAGCTGACAAAATCTTGAAGAATGGAGGCTCAAATAAATGGGGAGCCAACATACCATAGCACATTTGTTACAGTATGGACTCTGGATCCAGACCACCTCTCTTTGATTCTCTACTCTGTCATTTTTTTTTTAACTTTTATTTTAAGTTCAGGGGTACATATGCAGGTTTGTTACATAGGTAAACTTGTGTCATGGGAGTTTGTTGTACAGATTATTTCATCACCCAGTTATTAAGCCTAGTAACCATTAGTTATTTTTCCTAATCCTCTCCCTCCTCCCAACCTCCACCCTCCAAAAATCTCCAGTGTGTGTTGTTCCCCTCTATGTGTCCATGTGTTCTCATCATTTAGCTCCCATATATAAGTGAGAAAATGTGGTATTTGGTTTTCTGTTCCTGCGTCAGTTTCCTCAGGATAATGGCTGTTTTCTAGCTTTGAATTTGTCAGAAAGTCAGTTAATCTTTCTGTACCTCAGTTTCATATTTTTCCCAAGACTGGAGAAAATCTTGCCCAAAAAGATCATGGTGATGATCTTCAAAATTTTGTCATTCTTTGACTCATTCTCTGACCTACCTTCTCAACCACTACACTTGGATATCAAGAATTCAGATAACACTCAACATGTTCACTAGCAACCTCTAGAATTTACCCCTCAAACCTAATCCTCTGCATATCTGTAAATGTAGGCCAAATTTTTTTGTAATTATGCTTGGCCTTTTTGTCTTTCTCAAACATCTCACATCTAATCCATCAGCAAATTCTGTCAGCTCTACTTTCAAAACACATCTAAAACCCAACTGCTTCTCACCATCTTAACTGCTAGCACCCAAGTCCCAGTCTCCCTCACCTTTCCCATGTGAGTGTGGTAGCCCTAACTGGTCTCCACACTTCCTCACTTGCTTCCATTTTAGTCTAGTCTCAATCCATTAGTTAAAATGCTTACTATAAAAAGTCAGGTAATTTCATTCTGTTGCGCTAAATGGCTTCCCATCTCACTCAGAATAAAATCCAAAGTCAATACTACAGCCACGATACCTCCATAATTGTTCTGACTCACCTGCCCTCTGTCTGTTCTGCTTATTGCTCTCTAGCCACACTGGCCTTTTTCTGATTCTGAAACATGTTGAAGCGTTTCCACTAGCTGCTCCACCAGCCTGAAATGATCTTCCAGATATCTAAATAGCATCATGATCACATTTCATTCACATGTCTGCTCAGATTACATTTACTCAGAAAGGTTTTTTTTTAATTTTTAATTTTTGTGAGTATATAATAGGTACATACTCACAAAAGTAGGTATATACTTATGGGGTACAAGAGATATTTTGATACAGGCATACATTGTGTAATAGTCATATCAGGGTAAACGGGGTATAATCTCCTCTAGCATTTATTCTTTCTTTGTGTTAAAAACAATCCAATGGCAATCCTTTAGTTACTTTAAAATGTTAAATAAATTAATTTGACTGTAATCATCCTGCTGCGCTATGAAATACTAAATCTTACTAATCCTAACTATATTTTTGTACCCATTAACCATCCCCCATTCCCCTGTACTGCCCTTTCCAGATGCTGGTAAACATTACTCTATTCTTTATCTCCATGAGTTTAACTGTTTTAATTTTTAGCTCCCACAAATAAGTGTGAACATATGAAGTTTGTCTTTCTGAGCCTGGCTTATTTCACATAACATAAAGACCTCCAGTTCCAACCATTTTATTGCAAATGACAGGATCTCATTATTTTTGATGGCTAAACAACACTCCATTGTGGTACATGTACCACATTTTCTTTATCCATTTGTCTGTTGATGGACACTTAGATTGCTTCCAAATCTTGGCTATGGTGAACAGTGCCGCAATAAACGTGGGAGTGCAGATATCTCTTTGATAGACTGATTTCCTTTCTTTTGAGTATATACCTAGCAGTAGGATTTCTGGATCATAAGGTAGCTCTATTTTTAATTATTTTTAGGAGCCTCCAAAATGTTCTTCATAGTGATTGTACTAATTTATATTCCTACCAACAGTGTGTGAGTTCTTTTTCTCCACATTCTTGCCAGTATTTGTTATTGTCTGTCTTTTGGATAAAAGCCATAACTAGGGTAAGATGATATCTCATTGAGGTTTTGATTTGCATTTTTGTGATGGTTAATGATGTTGAGCACTTTTTCGTATACCTGTTTGTCATTTGTATGTCTTCTTTTGAGAAATAGTTATTCATATTTTTGCCCATTTTTAAAATTGAATTATTAGATTTTTTTCCTATAGAATTGTCAGCTTTTCATATATTCTAGTTATTCATCTATTGTCAAGTAGATAGTTTTAGAATATTCTTTCCCATTATATGGATTGTCTCTTTATTGATTATTTCCTTTGCTGTGAAGAAGCTTTTTAGCTTGATGTGATCCAATTTGTCCATTTTTTCTTTGGCTGGCTGTGTTTGTGGGGTATTACTCAAGAAATCTTTGTCCAGTCCCATGTCTGGAGAGAGTCCTCAATGGTTTCTTGTAGTAGCTTCATAGTGTGAGATCTTAGATTTAAGTCTTTAATCCATTTTGATTTGATTTTTGTACAGGTCAAGAAGTGAGGTCTAGTTTCATTCTTCTGCATCTAGATATCCGCTTTTCCCAGCACTATTTATTAAAGAGACTGTCTTTTCCCCAATATATGTCTTTTCTTTTGGCACCTTTATAAAAAATGAGTTCATTGTAGGTGTATGCATTTATTTCTGGGTTCTCTATTATGTTCCATTGGCCTATGTGTCTGTTTTTATGCCAGAACCATGCCATTTTGTTTACTATAATTTTGTACTATAATTTGAAGTCAGGTAATGTGATTAGTTCAGTTTTTTTTTTTTTTTTTTTTCTCAAGATAGGTTTGGCTATTCTGGGTCTTCTGTGGTTCCATATAAATTTTAGGATTGTTTTTTCCATTTCTCCAAAGAATGTCATTGCTATTTTGATAGAGATTGCTTTAAACCTGTAGACTGCTTTAGGTAGTATGGATATTTTAACAATATTGATTCTTCAAATCCATGAACATGAAAAACCTTTCCATTTTTTTGTGTCCTCTTCAATTTCTTTCATTAATGTTTTATAGTTTTCATTGGAAAGATCTTTTACTTCCTTGGCTAAGTTTATTCCTAGGTATTTTATTTTATTTGTAACTATTGTAAATGGGGTTCCTTTCTTGATTTCTTTTTTTTGATTGTTTGCTGTTAACATATAGAAATACTACTAATTTTTTTATCTATATTGATTTGGTATCCAGCAACTTTACTAAATTTGTTTATTAGTTCTAATAGTTTTTTGGTAGAGTATTTAGGTTTTTCCAAATATAAGATCATATAGTCTATAAACAAGGATAATTTGACTTCTCCTTTTCCAATTTGGATGCCCTTTATTTCTTTCTCTTGTCTTGTTGCTCTACCTAGGACTTCTAGTAGTATGTTAAATAATGGTGGTAAAAGTGATCATCCTTGTCATGTTCTGGATCTTAGAGGAAAGGGTTTTAGTTTTCCCCCATTTAGTATGATGCTAACAGTAGGTCTGTCATATTTGGCTTTTATTGTGTTGAGGTATGTTCCTTCTATACCCAGTTTATTGGTGACTTTTTTATCCTAAGGGGATATTGAGTTTTATCAAATGTTTTCTTAGCATCAGTTGAAATGTTCATATGGCTTTTGTCCTTCGTTCTGCTGGTATGATGTATCACATTGATTGATTTACATATGTTGAACCATCCTTGCATCCCTGGGATTAATCTTGCTGGGTCATGATAAATGATCTGTTTAATGTGTTTTGGAATTCAGTTTCCTAATATTTTGTTGAGGATGTTTACATCAGTGTTCATCAGGGATATTGACCTAGTTTTCTTTTATTGAGATGTCTTTGTCTGTTTTGGTGTCAAGGTAATACTGGCCTCATAGAATGAGTTTGGAAGTATCCCCTCCTCTATTTTTCAGAATAATTTGAGTGGGATTGGTATTAGTTCTTCTTTTAATGTTTGGTAAAATTTAGCAGTGAAGCCACTGGGTCCTGGGCTTCTCTTTGCTGAGTAACTTTTTATTACATCTTCAATATTGTTATTTATTATTGCACTGCTCCAGTTTTGAATTTCTTCATGGTTCAGTCTTGGTAGGTTGTATGTGTCTAGGAATTTATCTATTTCTTTTAGGTTTTCCAATTTATTGCCATATAGTTGTTCATAGTAGCCTCTAGTGATCCTTTGAATTTCTGCAGCATCACTTGGAATGTCTCTTTTTTCATCCCTGATTTTATTTATTTTGGTCTTCTTTTTTTCTTTGTCTAGCTGAAGGTTTGTCAGTTTTGTCAACCTTCTCAAAAAAAAAAGAAAACTTTTTGTTTCATTGATCTTTGTTTTTTTTTTCTTCATTTCAATTTCTTTTATTCTGCGTCAATCTTTATTATTTATTTTCTTGTACTAGTTTTGGGTTTGGTTTGCTCTTGTTTTTCTAGTTCTTTAAGATGCCCAATTAGGTTGTTTATATGAAGTCTTTACTTTTTTGATGTAGGAGCTTATAGCTATAAACTTTCCTCTTAGTACTGCTTTTGATGCATCTCATAGCTCTTACATCATGTTTCCATTATTATTTGTTTCAAGAAATTTTAAAGTTTCTTTATTGACCACTGGTACTTTAGGAGTATATTATTTAATTTCCATGTGTTTGTATGGTTTTCAAAATTCCTCTTGCTATCGATTTCTAGTTTCATTTTATTGTGGTCAGAGAAGGCACTTGATAGAATTTCATTTTTTTTTTGAATGTTTAAAGATTTGTTTTGTGGCCTAATATATGGTCCATCCTTTAGAATGATCCATGAACTGAAGAGAAGAATGTATATTCTGCAGCTCCTGGATGAAATGTCTTGTAAATACCTATTAGATCCATTTAGTTTATAGCACAGATTAAGTCTGATGTTTGTTGATGATCTGTCTGGATAATCTGTCCAAAGCTGAAAGTATGTCGTCAAAGTCTCTAGCTAATATTATATTGGTCTCTCTCTACCTCTAATAACATTTTCTTTTATATATGGGTGCTCCAGTGATGTATATATATATTTACAATTGGTATATTCTCTTGCTGATTGGATCTCTTTGTCATTATATAGTGACTTTGTCTCTTTTCATAGTTTTTGTTTTGAAGTCTATTTTGCCTGACATAAGTGTAGCTACTCCTGCTCTTTTCTGGTTTCCATTTGCTTGGATTATTTCTTTTCATGCCTTTATTTTTGGTCTACTTATGTCTGTAGGTAAGTGTGTTTCTTGTAGGCAACAAATCATTGGGTCTTTTTCAAAAATCCATTTAGCCACTCTATGTTTTTTGATTGGATAGTTTAGTTTAGTCCATTTACATTATTATTATTGATAAGTAGAACTTACTCCTGCCATTTTGTTATTTGTTTTCTGATTGTTTTGTGATCTTCTCTTCCTTCTTTCCTTCTTCCTGTCTTCCTTCTATTTAAGGTGTTTTTTGCTGGTGGTATGTTTTAATTTCTTGCTTTTTATTTTTTTTGTGTATATGTTGTGTTTTTTGACTTGGGGCTACCATGAGGCTTCCAAATACTATCTTATAACCTATTATTTTAAATTTATGACAATGCTATTGCATAAGTAAACAAATAAGCAAAGAAAAACTAATAAAACCTCTACACTTTAAATTCATCCCCTGCTTTTTAAGTTTTTGTTGTTTCTATTTACATATTATTGCACTCTGTATGTCATGAAAAGTGATTTTAGTTATTTTTGATCAGTTCATCTCTTAGTCTTTCTACTCAAATTATGAGTAGTTTATATACCATGATTACGGTGTTATAATATTCTGTTTTTTTATACGTACTTGGTATTAACAGCAAAAAGTATTGCATATTCACATGATTTCTTTTTTTTTTTTTTTTTTTTGAGTTGGAGTTTAGCTGTTGTTTCACAGGCTGGAGTGCAATGGCGCGATCTAGGCTCACCGCAACCTCCACCTCCCAGGTTCAAGTGATTCTCCTGCCTCAGCTTCCCGAGTAGCTGGGATTACAGGCATGTGCCACCATGCCCAGCTAATTTTGTATTTTTAGTAGAGATGGGGTTTCTCCATGTTGGTCAGACTGGTCTTGAACTCCCAACCTCAGGTGATCCATCTACCTTGGCCCCCCAAACTGCTGGGATTACAGCCATGAACCGCTGCACCTGGCCATTCACATGATTTCTTATTGATCATTAACATACTTTTCTTTCAGATTGAAGAACTTCCTTTACCATGTTTTTGCAGGACATGTCTGGTGTTAATGAGATTCCTCAGCTTTTGTTTGCTTGGGAAAGTTTTTATTTCTGCTTCATGTTTTGAAGGATATTTTCACAGGATATACTTTTCTAGGATAGAAGTTTTTTCATTCAGCACTTTAAATATGTCATTCCAATCTCTCCTGACAATAAGGTTTCCACTGAAAAGTCTCCTGCCAGATATATAGAAACTCCATTGTATGGTATTTGTTTCCTTTTTCTTGGCTGCTTTTAGGATCCTTTCTTTATCTTTGAACTTGGGGAGTTTGATTATTAAATGTCTTGAGATAATCTTTGGATTAAATCTGCTTGGTGTTCTATAACCTTCTTATACTTGAATATTGATATCTTTCTCTAGGTTTGGAAAGTTCTCTGTTATTATCCCTTTGAATAATTTTTTTACCTTGATCTCTCACTTTCTATCCTCTTTAAGGCAATAACTCTTAGATTTGCCCTTTTGAGACTATTTTCTAGATCTTGTAGTCATGCTTCACTCTTTTTAAATTTTTTATTTTGTCTTCTCTGACTGTGCATTTTCAGATAGCCTGTCTTCAAGCTCACTAATTCTTTCTTCTGCTTGAGAATTCTGCTATTAAGAGACTCTGATGTATTCTTCAGAATGTCTATTGCATTTTTAACTCCAGAATTTCTACTTGATTCTTTTTAATTATTTCAATCTTATTGTTAAATTTATCTGATAGGATTCCAAATTCCTTATCAGTGTTATTTTGAATTGCATGGCGTTTGCTCAAGATAGCTATTTTGAATTCTCTTTCTGAATGGTCACATATCTCTGTATCTTCAGTATTGGTCCCTGGTGCCCTATTTAGTTTATTTAGTGAGGTCATGTTTCCTGCATGGTCTTGATGCTCATCAGTGTGTGGGCCTTGAACAGTTAAGTATTTATGGTAGTCTTCACAATTTGGGCTTGTTTGTACCCGTCCTTCCCCAGAAGGCTTTTCAGGTATTCAAAGGGACTTGAGTATTGTAATCTGTTTTTGGCCACTGCAAATGTATATGCACTAGGAGACATCACAAGTCCAGTAACACTATTGCTCTTGCAGACACCTAGAGGTACCACCTTGGTAGTCTTGGATAAGATACCAAAGAATTATCACAGAGACTCTTTTTCTCTCCTTTTACTTTCTCCCAAACAGAGTCTCTCTTTCTGTGCTGAGCTGTCTGGAGCTGTAGGAGGAGTGACACAAGCACCCCTGTGGCCACCACCACTGGGACTGTGCTGGGTTAGATCTGAAGCCAGCACAATACTGGGTCTTACTCGAAGCCTACGGTAATCATTCCCTGGCTACCACCTATGTTCACGCAAGGCCCTAGGGCTCTACAATCAGTAGGTGGAAAAGATAGCCAGGCTTGTGTCTTTCCCTTCAGGGTAGCAAGTTTCTCCCAGCCAGGCTGAGTCCAGACATGCCATCTGAGAGCCAGGGCTGGAAAGCAAGTACCACCTGGGCACTGCTGATGTTTGCCCAAGGTCCAAGGGCTCTTCGATCAGTTTGCGGTAAATGTTGCTAGGCTTGGAACTTTCCCTTCAGAACAGTGGGCTCCCCTGTAGCCCAGGGAAGGTCCAGAAATACCATCCAAGAGCAATGGCCTGGAATAGAGGACCTCAAGTGCTCTACCCCACTGTGCTTGGGCTGGTACCTAAGCTGCAAAACAAAGTCCCTTTTGCTTTTTCTTCTCCTTTTCTTAAGTAGTAGGAGTTTATCTCCATAGACACCGCAATTTGGAATGTGTTGGGTCACACCTGAAGCCAGCACATGTCTCAGTCTCATCCAAGGCCTGCAGAGAGTACTAGCTAGGTACCGTTGTTGATTATTGAGGGTCTAAGGGCTCTTTAGTCAGCATGTGATGACTCCTGCCAAGAATAGGTTCTTCTTTTCCTGCTAAGGCAGTGGATTCCCTTCTGACCCAGGGTTTGTCTAGAAATGTCATCTGGGAGCTAGGACCTGAAATCTGGGCCTCACAACTGTGCATGTTTTCTGATTCTACTGTGGCTGAGCTGGTATCCAAGTTGTAAGACAAAGTACTCTTCTCTCTTCTCTCCTCAACTGGAGGGAAGTAGTCTTTCTTGGAGCTGTGAGCTGCTCTCCCTGGGGTTGGGGAATGGGTGGCACAAAGTCTACCTTGGCTACCCCAGTTGGTGTCTCACTAGTTTTCATGCCCCTCAAGTCCACTGGCTCCAACCCTGGCACAGCACCAGGACTTGCCCAGTAATTGCTATCCTTATGGGCCAGACTGCTTTTCAAGTTTCTTTAGGATCCCAGAGCCCTTTAGCCTGAGGGAGTGGGGTTTCCTGAAACTCAGGTTCCCACCACTGGGATAAACAATGACCTTCTGGCTAAGAATGATCTAAACGCTCCCTTCATCAGCACCAGTTGAGTTCTGCCCAGTATTGTTTTCTGCTGTGACAGGGCATCTCTGAGTTACAGTGCAAAGTCCCACAGTCACTGCATTCTCCCTCCCTCAAGTGCACACATTCTCTCTCTGTGCCATATGGCCGCTGCCAGGAAACAGGAGAGATGTGGTGTATCAGTCCATTTTCATATTGCTATAAAGAACTGCCCAATTCTGGGTAATTTAAAAAGGAAATAGAGTTAATTAATTCACAGTTCAGCATGGCTGGGGAGCCTCAGGCATCATGGTGGAAGGCTAAGGGGAAGCAAGGCCCCTTCTTCACAAGGCAGCAGGAAGGAGAAGTGCTGAGCGAAGGGGGAAGAGCCCCTTTTAAAACCATCAGATCTCGTGAGAACTCACTCAGTATCATGAGAATAGCATGGGGGAAACCGCCCCCATGATCCAATTACCTCCACCTGGTCTCTCCCTTGACATGTGGGGATTATGGGAATTATAATTCAAGATGAGATTTGGGTGGGGACACAAAGCCTAACCACATCAGGTGGTGATGGCAATTCAAGACTGTCTTTGCTACCTCTTCAGTGTTTCTCTCAATGATATTTAAAATCAGGTACTGGTTTCAATGATATTTAAAACCAGATACTGGATTCAATGATATTTAAAACCAGGTGCTGGTTTCAATGATATTTAAAACCAGGTGCTGGTTTCAATGATATTTAAAACCAGGTGCTGGTTTCAATGATATTTAAAACCAGGTGCTGGTTTCAATGATATTTAAAACCAGGTACTGTGATTGCTCACCTGATTTTTGTTTTTTATGAAGGTGCTTTTTTGTGTGTGGGTAGTTGTTCAGTTTAGTTTTCCTGAGGGAGTGAAGAATGATGAAAGTTTCTTTTTCGCTATCTTGCTCCACTCTCCATCCAGAAAGTTTTTTCTTGATTCAAAACAAAAAAGCACCCAATTTTCATTCTCTATCTTTATCCTACATATTTATTTCATAAAATATACCACTGCTTGCTATAATTTGTATACATTACATTTAATATGTTTATGTCTCTGTGTTTTCCAAATATATATTGTGCAAATTACATTTTTATATACATCTATATGTAAATGAAATATATTTGGTAACTTATCATCTCTGTGAGTGCACACACACACACATACACACACTAGAATGTAAACTATGAGAAGAGGAACTTTTTTCTTCAGTGTTATAATACCTATACTTAGCACAGTGCCTGGTGTATAGTGAGTATCTTCACTAAATATTTATTTAAAGAATATTCAGTTAAGGGAAATCAAAGATATCCATTGAATATTCACATAGCTAATAAAATACATTGTTAAGCTAATAGCAACTATTTTAAATCAAAACAATAACAACAGATACACAGTTCATCCTCATAGCTTTGTGGATGTGAAAAATGAGACCCAGAGAGGTTAAATACTTTACCAAGGGCAGTCATGAGGTGTAGTAGGGGGCATGGACTTTGGAATCAGGCAGAAATAGAATTAACTGTTTCTCGGCTGAGTGACCTTAGGAAATTAATTTATCATCATTGGCCCTTTATTTTCTAATACGAATATTTTATATTTTAAACTTGAAGAATGATCAAAATAATTAACAGCAATAACTAATGTGAAATAAGGTGTTAAATAGGATTTTTCCGTTGCTATAGAATTGGAACAGGAATCCACAAATGAAAACAAAGAAGAGTTAAGGACCCCACTGTAAAGAGAGAAAGCAATATATTTCTTACTCCCAGCCCCAGCCAGCACTTTCTAAATGGCAGAGCCAGCCCAGCCACCACTGACATAAGCATCCTTTACTTCCCAGAGTGGTAGAGAGGACTCAGAAAAGGGAAGGCCATTCGGGGCATGGGCCTGGAGGGAAATTTAGTGTTACTAATGAAAGATTTTTACCTTACCACCCTGTGATGGAAGAGAAGAGGTTCTCCTACCCAAGTGATAAAAAAAGACCCCTCCCAAATCATAGACATTGGGGATGTCTGCAAGGAGAGGGAAACTGACGTCTACTCCCTGGCTGGATGCTCATTGAGCTGTGAAATCTTTAGGCCAATTATTTTGACTTGGTTTAGCTAAGTAGACTATAGTGAAGGAATTCTGCATTATCTGGAGTTGTCAGTTTTGCATTTAAGGCACTAAAGACTGCTGTTCTTCCAGATATTTTAGGAGATTCAAAACTTGCTGGTGTAGACCACACCAGCCTGAGAAGGATAGCACGACTTTTCTGATCTCCACAACACAGGGAAGACCTCAGGGGTTCCTTTGGCTCCATATGAAGGAGAACAGAGTTCACAGGTGATTCCAAGTTAACCAAGTGGCCATCACACAACACAAACAGTGCTTACCAGGAGGGAAGGGCAGAAGGAAGCATTCTGCTTTCCGAGATGGTCAAGAAACAGTGAGCTGTATGCCATCTCAGAAAAACCACAAATCTAGTTTTTCTAGACACAATCTAGTTTGAGACGGCATGTCAGCAGAGACCACCAGCATCAATGGAACCAGACCAAATCAGAGAATACCAGAGATGCTGCTACACCACTGATGTGGGTGGTTATAACTGAAGATTCCTTCAGCATTGCTTCTTGCTTGGTGAAAAAAAATATATATTTCTTCCTCCTCTTGTCACCCTTCTCCTTTTCCGCCCTCTCTGCTTTCTACCCTCTGCCTCTTCCTTTCTCTCTCTCCTTTCCCTACTCTCCCTCCTCTTCCATCACTATTACTACCATTCTTCTTCCTCTTCTCCTCCTTCTCTCCCTCTTCCTTCTCCTGTACTCTCCTCCCTCCTTGTCCTCCTCCTCTCTACCTTCTTCTCCTCCTCCTTTCTTCTTCTCATCTTTAATTCAAATATATTAGAAAGAGAGAATGTCAAAGAATGATGTATAAAGAGTTGAGTAAAAGTTTATTTGCGAATGTGTGTTGGGGCTAAGGAGCAAGACTTGGCAGGGAAGAAGGTGGTAAGAAGGCAGAATAGACACTGCTGACACTGCAGCAAGTCTTATAGTGGATGACTGTCAAGCCAATCCAAATATTTTAGACTCCAGCTGTATGAACAGATGTTCCCAAATTGGTGAACTGTTTACATTTAACAGAGGACATTTAATCTTTCAAGAGACTCTGATCTAAGGTTGTCTTCTTTTAAAAGTTAATATGTCTGTCATAAGACTTTATTCCTAGTAGCAAATATTTAAAGCAACACTTTTTAAAGAAAGTAGAAACTGGTATGATGGTGTGTGCTTGCAGTGCCGGCTACTCAGGAGCCTGATGAGGGAGGGTCACTTGAGCACAGGATTTTGAGTCTACCCTGGGTAACACAGTGATACCTCATCTCTTAAACAAACAGAAAAACAAAAAACGAAAGTAAGAAAGTTGTGGAAAATTGCAATTTAAAATTATAATTTCTTAGTAAACATATTAGAGACTGAAGTTATTTTGATAATATTTTTTTCCAAAATCATACATGATAGATGTGTCAGTCAGTTTCACACTGCTATAAAGAACTTCCTGAGACTGGGTAATTTAAAAAGAAAAGAAGTTTAATTGACTCACAGTTCCACATGGCTAGGGAGGCCTCAGGAAATTCACAATCATGGCAGAAGAGGAAGCAGGCACATCTTACATGGCAACAGGCAAGAGAGAGCCTGTGAAGGAGGAACTGTCAAACACTTATAAAACCATCAGATCTTGTCAGAACTCACTCACTATCGTGAGAACAACATAGGGGAAACCATCCCCATGGTTCAATCACCTCCCACCAGGTCCCTCCCTTGACATGTGGGGATTATGGGGATTACAATATGAGATGAGATTTGGGTGGGGACACAGAGCCAAACCATAGCAATAGGATATGGAGTTATATAGTAGACTTAATTTTTTAAAGTAAGTTTTTAAAATTCTGAATAATGCAGTGTAACTTTTTGTAACTCTAGCATAAAGATACCTCTGTATGTATTTATGCAACAAATTAGATAATCTCATAATTCACTGAGCGTAAAAGATGAACAATATGCCACATTCTAGATCGTCTATATAGCCACGGCTATATAGACAAAAGCAGATAGAAGGTTTAGAAAAACGTTTGGATCAAAATGCCAAAGACTTAACTAAGTACCATATTATATGAGAATCAAAGGAAGAGATAGTTTTGTGATCTGAATTATTTGGATTGATTGCACAAAGTGACAACCAGAAAAAAAGAACAGAAAAACAATAAAATTATTCTTAGATGAAAATTTTATTAGCTTCTCTTTCCTCTACTCTAGTGTAATATTTTCTTCATTTTACACACACTTTAAAATTCATCTAAGAAGAAAATATAAGATTTACATATAATTCAGATACTTTTTCTTATGAGCTAGAGAGGCCAAAGAAACAAACCAACAAACCAAAAAACAATCCCTTCCATTAAACCCCTGAGTAAAAGTCAGGAAGTTGATCATATGCGATGATGTGACACCTCTTAATCACGGAGAAAGGACATTGATGAATAATCAGCAGGATAGCAAAGGTGTAGTGCAGTCACTGATAGGACATCAGCAGTTACTCCTGGGAAAGTGTAAGAAATTTTAAGGAACAGCAGAAAAGAATGAAGGACTCAGCTCCCTAACAGAATCAGAGAATTCATAGGCTCAGATAAAGGTGACTCGTTTCTGTATTTCTATGTCAGAAATATACAGGAGCTCATCCCCCCAAAAGTGAAGCAGTCTATAGTCACAAATTTTATTTTGGAAAAATGAAACAAAACCAGAGAAAAACTTAGAGCATCTTTACACAAGCTTTTTTTTTTCAAGTGCTTTTTGTTATTCTAATGGATCCTATATTCAAAACATTCCAAGATAATCAGTGTCTCTCTGCAGGAAACCCTGCTGATTTTAGGGAAATGATTAATAATCGGTCACTTTCTCTGCCCCTTTCAGCTTCTCTTAAGTTTAGTGAGGAAGCTTAAAGAATTCTTACACCTCCCCCTGCTGGCAGCAAACAAGAAGTGCAGGTTTGGTACGTAAAACACGTTCACACTGAAAATAATGGCTAAGATCAACTTTTGATTCTAAAAACAAGATTCTTTCCATCTGTAATCCGTGAAAAAGTTTGAAACATGAATTTAAAACATGAAAAGTAATAATAAAGTTTTGGGAAGTACTGCTTTTCAGAAGTCAAACAATGAGTATTATGTTAAAATATTTAATTCAACAGCATTCCTTCAAAAATTTATATTTCTGAAATCTGACTCCAGAAATGACTTTGTTGTGACCTTTACGTCTTTTCAACTGTGTCTCTACTTGCTGCCATTCTCTCTATAGATCCCATTATTATCCGTCGCGGAGACAGGAGGTTCGTCAATCACTTAATCTGCTCCCCTGCACTTTCCAACTCCCTTGCTGTTCTTGCTTCTGGGCGGTACTGATGGGTCACTTACGGGTCCACACACGGAGGACCCAGCCCATGATCCCCATCTGCCTCTGCTGCGGCAGGTACTGCAGATGTTCCAGAGAGTGGAGTGTCCATCAACCTAGATGCTTGAGAGCCTATGTTGAGCAGGGGCCTCTGTGTGTTCCTCCCCTCATTGACCTACAGCTGAATTTGAGTGAGAACTACCTGTTAGGTGTTAAGCAATTGAGAGTTCATTTGTCCTGAAAATAACAACGTAGCTGATGACTTTAGAATGTAAACCAAAACATATCTGATACAAGTCTAAATCAATTTACAAAGTTTATTTTGCCAAGGTTAAGGAGGCACACCCCTGACACAGTTTCAGAAGGTCCTCACAACATGTGCCCAAGGGGTTCAGGGCACGGCTTGCTTTCATACATTTTAGGGAGACGTGAGACATCAATCTATATGTCTAAGATGTACGTTGGTTTGGTCTGGAAAGACAGGGCAACTCGAAGTGGGGCAGGGGCTTCCAGGTCATAGGTAAATAACAGACAAATGGTTACATTCTTGTAAGTTTCTGATTAGCCTGTCACTGAATATACGATTTACAGGAATAGTCACTTATGCCTTAGTCTGGCTTAGTGAAACAATAGGGCAAAGGAAGCAATCAGATATGCATTTGTCTCACGTGAGCAGAAAGATGACTGAGTTCTGTCTGTCCTTTATCCACAAGGAGTTTCTTTGCAGACAAAGTGGGAGAGAGGTATTTATCTTTTTAATCTTTGTAGCTGTTTTATTTAGGAGTAGAATGGGAGGCAGATTTGTCTGCAGTACTTAGCTTGACTTTTCCCTTTGTTAGTGATATGGGGGTTGCAAGATTTATTTTCCTTTCACAGGTATATTTGCACCTTTCACAAGAACATTAAGAACAATCCTGAGCATTCTTCATGTCTCGTTTGATCCTTACCACTGCCCTCTGCAGTACTTTATATAGATGTTATTAGCCACATTTTGTATGTGACAAAACTCTGGCAAAGGTAGATTAGATGCATTGTTCCAGGTCACACGGGCAAGAAGTGATGGAACCAGGAATCAACTCAGATTCCAAATTTCCTCAATTTTTATTTCGACTTTACATTGTCTCATAAAACAAAATTCACAATTATGTAAGATTAATTACATCAAGTTGAACATCATCACTTTGTTTAAAAAGTTATAGGGGCAAATACATTTAACACACAAAAAATTATTAAGTCTACTTTGTTGAAAGCACTACTGTAAGCATTGCAAGATATACAAACAAGTATGAGATGTAGTCCTTATCTTCACAGAAATTACACTCATGCTTGGAAGCCCAGTCAAAGAAACATGGAAAGCTCAAGAGCAATATAGAAAACTTTACAAATAGTCCCTGACTAGTTGTCAAGTTAGCTTTTCACACATTAGGTGATCAGTAAATGTTTGCTGGGGAGAAGGCAGAGGACAGATCACGAAAGAAGGGTGGAGAAGAATGGTGAAGAAGGTGAGTGATGGGATTATAGTGCAGCTTCCCATCCTATAAGAGAGTCAGGCAAGGCTCCATGGAGCAGGTGTGGTTTAGCATAAACTTAATGGATGGGTAGGGTTGTATTCAATTGTATTGAATGATGGGCAGGTTTTATCATTGCCACCAAATTATGAAGGGCCCTGTGATGGTTAATTTTATGTGTCAACTTGGTTGGGCCATGAAATGCCCAGATTATATGTGACTTTGGGGGTGTATCTGTGAGGGTGCTTGTGAGATTAACATTTGAATAAGTGGCCTCGGTAGGTTGCCACCCCCAATGTGGGTGGGAATCATCAACCCCTTAAGAGCCCGAATATAAGAAAAGGTGGAGAAAGGAAGAATTCATCCCTTTTGTTCTGCCTCACTACTTGAGTAGGACATCCCATCTCCTCTTCTACCCTTGAACCGGTATTTACACCATTCATTCTCAGACTAAAACTGAATTACACCATTGGCTTTCCTGGGTCCCCAGCTTGCAGAATGCAGATTGTGGCAATTCTTAGCCTCCATATGACATGAGCCAATGCCTCATAATAAATCTCCTTTTTATATACAGATAGATAGATGATAGATAGAGGGTAGATAAATATAGGGACATAAATATACACATAGATATAGGTATATATCTCTGATTTGTTTGGTTTCTCTGGAGAATCCTGACTAATGTAGTTCCTATTAAAGAATTTGCATTTATCTTATAGGCAGAAAGACATCCTTAATGTTTGTAGAATATTGCACTGTCAGTAAAATATCTTAGATAGTGCATAAAGGAGGTATAGGCAGAGACCAGCAAGAGAGATCATTAATATACACACAGTTATACATACTTACATTATGTTATCTATAACCATGTCTCTTTATGATGTCTACAGATATGACTTTTCAAATTTTGTCTGAATCAACTATTCACCTGTACAAAAAATGACATCTGTTAACAGTTTTATTCTAGTCAGTTAATTTCCATATTCTTTAAAACAAATGAAGTACAGTAGATGAAGTATATTGAACATTATTTTTATTGGAGGAATACATACTTATGGGTTTGTCTTAGTCTATTCAGGCTGCTTTAACAGAACACTATAAATTGGGTGGCTTATAAGCAACAGGAATTTATTTTTCACAGTTGTGAAGGCTGGCAGTCCAAGATCAAGGCACCAGCAAATTCATTGTCCCATGATTTTGAGGAGGTCCCACTCCTCATAGATGGTGCCTTCTTGCTGTGTCCTCACTTGGCAGAAGAGAAAAATGGCCCCCTTGAAGCAGCATTGTTGTCTGGGGTTAATATCCGGGATTCATCATCTCGCACCAAGAAGATTTAGGACAGGGACACACATGAAGAGTGGGCTTAGGAGCGGTGGTGTAATAGGCAAAAGAAAGACAAAGGAGAGTAGCTCTCTCATGAGAGAGAAAGAAACGGGGGGAAGGGGGGAGAGAGAGAGAGAGAGAGAGATCTGAAAGGGAAAAACTGGCATGCAGCAGACTGCTCCAGGTTATTATTATTATTATTATTATTATTATTATTTTGAGACAGTTTCATTCTTGTTGCCCAGGCTCGAGTGCAGTGGTGCGATCTCGGCTCACCACAACCTCCACCTCAAGTGATTCTCCTGCCTCAGCCTCCCAAGTAGCTGGGATTACACGCGCACACCACCATGCTCAGCTAATTTTTTTGTATTTTTATAGAGACGGGGGGTTCACCATATTGACCAGGCTGGTCTCGAACTCCTGGCCTCAAGTGATCTGCCTGCCTCGGCCTCCCAAAGTGCTGGGATTGCAGGCATGAGTCACCACACTGGCCTGTGCCAGATTTTATAGGCAGGCTTGAGGAGGCGGTGTCTGATTTATGTGGGATGCACAGATTGGTTCTATCAGGTGTGACATTTACCTGGTGCAGCAGGAAAGGCTGTATGGCCCCACCCTAATCTTATGCAAATAGGCTTTCTACTTGGCCATCTTGTCTGCTCCTTACTGTACATGTGGTTGGCAAAGTGAAGAGAAGATGGAGCCGCCATTTTGAACATGCCTATTCCTGGGTAGCCTTTTCCTATTGGCGCAACTGTCAGCATTCACCTGTGCAAGCTTCTAGCTTGCTTGTTTATGTCTGCAGCTCAATTTTACAGGCTACTCTGCATTAGAAAAGCAAATTATTTGGGGGCTGCTTTTCATTAAAAGGGAAACCTTTCCAAGGACTTCCTTACCCTCACTATCTGCCTAAATAATTTATTTTTAACTCCTATATCACCCTCAAGCTCCTTTATAAGAGCACTAATCCCATTCATGAGGGTGGAGCCCTCATAACCTAACCAACTCCTAAAGGTTTCACCTCTTAATAACATCACTATGGGGGTTAGGTTTCCACATAGGAGTTTTGGCAAGATGCAAACTCTCTGACCTTACCAAGGTTATATCAAACACAGCAAAAGAACATCTAATGGCCACCTCTGGTTCTATTCCTCAAAGGTAAGCTCCTTTAACTGTCTCTTTTAGTTTGGGGTGATAATTACCTTCACAACTCTGAACGATATACTTGTACCTCTATTTCTTGACTAAAAAAATACTAAAATACATCTTGTCTTCATAATTCGGTACATGAGGATTTATCTCATACTATTCTACCTTCTCTCAATTAGATATTTTAATATCATTACTTTAAAGGTTTTAAAACTACTTTTTAAACTATCGATAGCATTCTTCTTAACCTCCTCCCGTTTTTTTTTCCATCAACTTCTGCCAATACTTCTTGACTCTCTCTTTGTGAGATGAAGAAATGAGTGCTTCTGCCCTTTCCTCCATAGGTTCTCTTCCTCCTGAAAGTCCAACGTGTTTACTTTGATCTTGTGAAGATTACTAACATTTACCTCTCCAGCAACCCCAATCAAGTCTTCATGTTTTGACAATAGATTGATGATAAAATTTGAAAATCAGTAACTAATATTTACGCTGGTCTGATCATATTCATATTATTCAATGCTGAGCCAAGTCATTTGTTCAAATTAGTTTTCTTTCCATAGGCCCATTGCCTTCACCTCTTGGTCACCCTAAAAAATATTTTTCGAGTTAAAGTCAATTTGATTCTTCTTTTAAATACAACATCAATTATTAAGTTCATGTTATATTTAATTTGCTTTTTATCTAGATAATGAATTTCATGACCAGGGCTATTTGTTTATTTTCTTTGAAGTTTTAAATTGTCTTTCTTTCTAACTTCTATTGGTCACATTCATTATATCCTGTTTTTTCCCTTGTTCTTATCTCGTGTGCCTAATATGTCCTGGATTGCTCTAAAAATTTTACCATCCTACTGAATATATTTTCTCCAGGGTCTATGTTTCTTCTGGTTGTTATTTTCTTTCCTGCTACTGGTTTTTCTCATTTGCCTGGTGATGCTTGGTTATCTATTCAGGGATCTCATGGAAGAAAAGGGTACCTGGTGTGAATTTCCCCTGCTATTGGATTTTCAACGGAAGTTTTACCTTTCCTGGGAATTATACTTGGCTCAGTTGGCTTTTCTGTGTGTGGCCAAGTCAGGCCAAGTGGGTGGCTGTAATTGCTGCTCAACTCTGCAAATCAATAGAGCTCCATCTTTTAAGGCTGTAGGTAGAGGGGATAGTGGCCACAATTTCTTCCCTCCCCCTACTTACCTGAACAAGCCTACTTTGATAGCCCTAGGGCTAAGAAGTTGCAATTTAGGGTAAGTGGATACAGAATTGGTTGTCTATGTCTCCAACCCTCCAAATTCCAGGATGATGAGGGCATTTAGTGGTTGCAGAAGCAACAAGAGGCTATGCCTGGAGGGAATGCCAACTTCATGGCCTCTGTGGAGCTAAAGAAGTGGGATGGGCACATAGACTGCATAATGGCCCATCAAAGATCTTTTATTGATTCCTCTGTTTCAACTTCACTTCTCTTTCCTACAATTGGCCATCTGCTAATTCTGAACCCAGAATTTCTTCAGAGTTCTACAAGAGAGATATTCCTCACTTCCTGGTAGAATATTCCAGGCTGATTTTATTCATTGTTTCATTTAAATATTTACATCTATCCGCTCTGGCTCTGATACATTTTTTGGAATATTTGTACATTGATAACTTTTCTCAGCATTTATATTGTTCTTTCAGACATTTGGAGTATATTCTTTTTGTACCTGATACCTCCTTCATCTCACTCCGGTTACCATTAGTGATTCAAAAAAGATGAGAGGCAAACATGGATGTTACTCATATTGTCTTCTCTTTCTCAGAGACATCACCTAGTTCAGAAGCCCTAGTGGAAGAATCTCTATGTTCCAAGAGGAATATCAATATGAAGGATAAGAAATAAAGGCTGCTACTTGAGGAGTCAAGTGGTACAAAGGAAATGAACACTTAGTGGCAATGGACTACTGATTATATTTCTCAACCTCATGGAAAAAAAAAAGTGGGCTACACTGATTTTTGATTAGGAAATTGTATTAGTCCATTCTCACACTGCTACAAAGAAATAACTAAGACTGGGTAATTTATAAAGAAAAGAGGTTTAATTTCCTTCTGGTTCTGCAGGCTGTATAGAAAGCATAGCGGCTTCTGCTTGGTTTCTGGGGAGGCCTCAGGAAACTTACAATTATGGCAGAAGGAGAAGGAGAAGGAGAAGGAGAAGCAGGAACATCTTACATGGCCGGAGCAGGAGCAAGAGGGAGAGGTGGGGAGGTGCTACTCACTTTTAAAACAACCAGTTCTTGTGATAACTCACTCACTCGACAGTACCAACAGAGGATGGTGATAAAACTTTCATGAGAACTCATGATCCAATGCCACCCATGATCCAAACACCTCCCACCAGGCCCCTCCTCCAACATTGGGGATTATAATTCAATGTGAGATTCGGGCAGGGACACAGATCCAAACCATATCAGAAACATACTCGTATTTTTAGATTCATTATTCCCCTCTTTTCAACTCCATCTATTTCAGCATTTGCTCTGTTTCAGGCTTGCTTCTGCACATTAGATTTCTGGACTTGGTGTCTTAAAGAAGAATGTTTTCTTTTCTGTGTCTCTATGTGATACCTCCACAAAAAAATTAACCAGAATTTTTGTTTTGTCACCATCATCATCATTGCTATTATTACTTAAAGGATTAGATTTCCCTGTTTCCTATTTCTAACCTCTTAAAATCCCTTTGGATTTTTAATCTGCAATTCCCAGTGTTTGCCAGTTTAGTGCCATCTGCAAATTAGTTAATGTGCAGTTTAGCCTTTCTTTGAAATCAGTAATTAAGATGTAAAGTAAGACTGAGCCCAAGACTAATTCCCTGGGCTTCCCACTGGGACCTCTCCTGAGCTCCCCAACTCTTTTATGACCACCTCTGGTTTATCATCTTCCAGCCAAATCTCAAGCTATTTTACTAACTATATAATTAAGTTGATTTATGACAGTCACTAGATTAATTTTATTTTGTAAAATGTTGTCTGATACATATATTTATTTTACTTAGTTTCATATTTGCATATGTTGAAACATTATAGCCAAAGAAGAAAAATATTTTTAGTCAGGATAACCCTGACATTTTCTATTAAATGATCACTTGGTCTGGAGACATACAGAGATAGTCTCTTAATATTAGTTCTATCATTTGACTGCAGCCGAAGTTCATCATCTATAATATAATTACAATCCGATGATCCTTTTTTTTCTTTCTTATTTATAGGTCTTAAATAATTTTTCAGTCTTCTAGTATCTTTCCAATTCTTTAGGGTAAAAACAAAAAATTTATCTCCATTTTAGTAAATCTATTCACTTATTCCCTGATCAGCCATAGAAGAATCTTTTGTTTTCAGGTCTTAGGCATTTTCTGTTAGCTGCCAATTATCTATGTCTCAGACTGACATTCAAATAATTAACTATTCAGGTGCACTGATCTCACCACCAAGGGTTTTATGAGCATTTGAGAAATTTGTTTAAGTTTAATTGGGAAATTAAGCCATGGGGCAATGTTATTGCAAAGCTATACTGCTGTGTTCTGAGTAACTAGACTAATCTAGGTCAGAAAAGCACAATAGGACATACAAACACCCCAAGAACACAAAATTGTGCTTTTAATGACTGCCAAATTCTAAGATACTTTAATCTTACCATTCTGAGACTCTTTCTTTTTTTGGTGTGCAGATCGGGCTCTGGTTTATAACCAAAATCTTCTTAATGATTTTTAGCCCTGCCTCTTCCCTCCAGCTCTCCTTTCTCCTTTCAGAACTTACTCAAGTATTTTATTACTTGTGTGTTTGCAAAACATATTGCTCTTTTCTCTGTAGTATCAGATAACATTCCTAGCACTCTGAGTTAGACACTGGTTTCTCCTTTTCTGGGAAATGCATCCAGACAGGCAGTAAACATTTTTATTTCACTATAAATACGTGAGAGTTTATGATGTATAACGGGACTATAGAGTGACTGAGTATTTCTTCTCAGCTGATACTTAGCTCTCAGAGAAGCCTGAATGAATGGGATTTTCTTATTTTATATTTTCCTTAAGAACTTTTAAAATTTTTCTTTAATATAACTGAAAATTATCAAAAGGAAAGGCAAAATAGGAAAGGAGAAAGGAAGGGAGGGAAGAAGAGAGAAAAAGCATGAGAGCATGTGAACTTGTTCCTAATCTGGAATTCCAACTTTCCCAGCATTTTTCTGTTATCTTCACAGTAACTAGACTTAAAAAAAAAAAAACCCAAAAACCAAAAACAAAAATAAAACCTGGATTCTCCCTGTGTGCCTGTGTGAAAATTTTTGAAGCTATACAGTCACTTTTCTCCTTTTTTGTCTTCTTAATAAGTAAAGGTATTAACTGAAGACATGTAAGTTGCTTTAAGAAATAATTTTACGTGTTTGAGACTACTGACCCTTATAAGATGAATACAAAAATATTAGGTTCATTTCTTAAGTAGAAGTCTTTTAATTAGGAGCTTGAATAAAATTAGAGAATGTTGTCAATGTGGTTCCAAGTTTGGCTATTTGTTGTACTTTGGGCGGTTTCCTGTGTCCATCAGATTTAATGAGCTTCTGTGATCCTGATTTTGGCTTGTTATTATTGTATTCTTGTGTTTATTCTGACTTGTCTTGACAGTATATTATTTTCTTCTTTCTGCTATTTTATATTTGTGGTGACTTACAGTAAAGTGCTCCTAGACCAGAAATGTAATATGTAAGCATAATTAGGATGCCTTTTTGTTTCTTCGCACGTGTGATATGAACATAGCATACCCCATCTATATGAAATACATAGTCTTACATATTATTTGAATCTTATTAATTCATATTTATTCTGTGTATATTTTCTTCTTGGTTAAAAAAGATTTTATAATTGCTTATGTTCTCAGATAATATGATAGACTACTTTAACAACAAAGGATAATAGTGTTCTTAATAGCTAGGTATAATACTTACTTATGAGGACTAAAATAGCCAACTGGAGTAGACCTCTACTGTAGTGAATGTGTGTTTGCAAAACATATTGCTTTTCTCTGCAGTATCTGACAACCTTCCTTTTCTCTGTAGTATCAGATAACCTTGCCAATGGCAATGACAAAAAACATAATTATTTGTGCACCAACCTAATATAATTTATTTTTTAAAATAATTGTCACTATTTCCCACCTCTAGCTGTATCAATGGTGAAAAACAGAGCTATGGCTGTAAAAACTTTGTGCCCATAACATGGAAATAAACTATAATACTACATGCGTCTTAGTTGGAGACGTCATTCAAATAACATACTTTGGAAACGATATAGAAACTTAGAAATCAGCTACTATATTCTCTCAATCAAGAATAAGAAAACTGAAGTTCAGAGAAGTAAATATCTCAGCCAAGGCAGTACAGTGTGCTTGTAGCAGCTCCAGGACTAATGCTGAGCAGTTCCTTTTTCCCTCCTTAAGATTATGGCTTCATACAATATAGCAAAACTGAAAAACACACAGATTTGTTCTTTAAAAGGAAACACCTGTGGGTCAAGGCCAGCCCCTATGTAAACCTCAGGAAATACACACAATAAAAAAATACATTTGTATGCTGCTTGTGAATTATAAAATTAATGGCTAGATTGACAATTATTGAAAGTCTTTGTCTTTATCTGAGGGAGAAATTATCAGAATATAAACCATGAAACTAAATGGTCTGAGTTAACTGGATTGACATTAAAATCAGCTATAAAAGAATCCACTATTTAAATATGCCAACAACTTAAAACACTGTTTCCAAAAGTGTTCATTCTATGCATTATATATATATATAGATTTTTCTAAAACTTGTGAAAATCTAAGGATTATGTCTTAATTAATATCTTGTTCTTCCATTAAATTGATTATTTAATTAAGTATGGAGGGGTCAAGCATCATGGGCACCATTAGATGGCAGCATTACACAAAACTGTTGTTTGCATTTTGTACAAAATCATGTTTTAAGTTGCCAAAAAAGTTAGTTTACAATCTAATGTATATACTCTACAGATTTCTTTAATAGTAAGTTTTTAAATTTATAAAAAGGCAAGTTGGAGATTCTGGTACAAGAGAATGAGACAAAACTTAGAGAGAAGGAAAATAGAAAAGATGAGAAAGAGACATAAGAACATGTAAACCAATGACAGGTAAAAGATTATCTCAGGAAGACAAATAGGACTTCTGTCTATCATGCTGACTCCATTACTATCTGATGGCATACAGGATATTGCAAAATTCTGTAACTGTTTTGATCAAAATTATTTTGTTAAAGAAGTACTAAAAGTAAAGTCTTCACTCTGCGATGTTCTCTCTTAATGTCAGAATAAAAAGTAACCACAGGACAGGTGCAGAGGCCACGCCTGTAATCCCAGCACTTTGGGAGGCCGAGGCGGGTGGATTATCTGAGGTCAGGAGTTTGAGACCAGCCTGACCAACATGGTGAAACCCTGTCTCTACTAAAAATACAAAATTAGCCAGGCGTGGTGGCACATGACTATAATCCCAGCTACTCGGGAGGCTGAGGCAAGAGAATCGCTTGAAGCCTGGAGGCCGAGGTTGCGGTGAGCCAAGATCACGCCATTGCACTCCAGCCTGGGCAACAAGAACAAAATTCCATCTCAGAAAAAAAAAAAAAAAGTAGCTACATTCTATCAATCAATAAATGAGTAGAGATTGACAATTTTGAGTTCCTAGGAGTTGGGTATTTACTTAAGTATAATTTTATATGATAGTGATTTAGAATGAAAAAATACTTTTTTGAAGAAAAGACTTCAGTTTAATAAATCTCTTTTAGTAATAACCCAATTCCTTTTTGGAGACAGGTGTTATCTTACACATTTGAATATAGTATATGGAATGTAATTTGCTCTAAAGATTTGACTTGCCTAGTAGACATCCTATGTGATAGGTGTTAACAGGAAGAAAAATGCGAGAGTAACTCCAAACATTTTACATCCAAAAATTATGCATAAGGTACAATAAAGTGTAATAGACCTATGCCTAGGTAGTATTCTTTGCTGATATAGAAATACTGTATTTCTAGGTAGGAATGTAGAAGGTAGCAAGACTGAAAGGCTCTGCTCCTTTTATCTTTTCATTGGTCAATAGTGGATTTAAGTTTTGAAGGGCAAAATGTGATTACTCCATTTTAACAATTTTCACTCCTCCACTCCTTCCTTTGTATGACCAGCCTCTGACATAATGAGAGAAAAAAAGCCTATTGGGACCAGCTTAATTCTATGACATATTTTAACTAGGCAAGATCCTCATTAATGCCAGGGACTTTTCGGAGTCCCAGTCATATCCCCTTACGGAGATAGTTTATCCATAGTGTGTAGATCTGCAATAGTATAGGATTTACTGCCAAGTTCTTTCTCCAATTCATTCCCTACAGTAGAGGTCTACTCTGATTGGTCGAGTAGTTTAATCCCTATCCATATACCTTGTTATATTAGGAGTATTTGCTATTGTCTGTGTATGTGGAGATTTTTGAAGCTAAAATTTTTCCCCACCCTTCCAGAAGAAGCACAGTGAAGAGCTGCCCCTGTATTCAGGGTGCCTGATTCTTTCATGCTCCGGGGCATATTGTTATCACCAGCTGCAGTCAGGGGAAAGAAAAAATCTCCGTCCCTCTTATGTAATATAGTACAATTAGGCACATAATGTAGATTTTATGCTTTTCTCTGAAACATCTGGCATGTACTGCTTACCAAAACCAAAGCTTGGAGAGCCAGACCTCCTGTAGCATTTTAATATCAATGTGTCTTTTGACATAGTAGTTATCTAATGTTTGTGCCAGTTTTTGAAAACATCACATCTTAAATATCACCTCTTGAATGAGTGTAAATTCAAAATGCCTGCCAGGGGGTTATGTGTTTGTGGGAGGAACTAATATCTACCCTAATCTAAATACCAAATGAATTTTAGATTGTCATTCTAACCCAACATTAGCATTGGCCCTTGGGAAAATCATTGTTTATGTATTCTTTTCAGATACTCAGAATTAAGAGTCAATCTATTTAAACCTTGTTGCTAATATTACATCTATATTTCTGACATACTAGGAAAATGTGTACAGGGTTTTTACATTTGTCTACAGACAAAAAGTTACCAATAAAAAATTTTAACAAATTATCTTCAAATTCTCTAGAAAAAAAGATCAAGTCACTTGGTGGAAAAGATAAAATATCCTGAGATCCTTGTGAACAAAAACGTCTCTCACTGAGATCCATGATCTTCTTGTGGCAGGGCAATAGGGGTTAAAGTACCATTTCCAGCAAAACGTACTGCTCTAGCTTGTCAAGCCACCTTCAAAACATTCTGTGTTCCCATAAAATCCACATTGGAATAAATAAAACTTAAAAAAGAAACACAAGTGACATAAAAGTAAAACAAAGAATAAAATGAGGAAGAAAAAATTTATGTGGTTCATATATTCAGAGATTTTAGCAACATAATAAAATGTTGATAAAACATTTACACCTGTAGCTGCAAAATGGTTTGTATTCATTTACAAACCATTATTATTTGGCATTAGTCAGGATTCCATTAATTATGTTGAAATTTTAAAAGTAAATTATGGAACTGTTAGAACTACAGACAATGTGAGTGGACTCTAACATATTACAACATTAAAATGAAAAGTGTCATAAGTTACATAGACAATTTTTTTTTTTTTTTTAGAGGCAGGGTTCTGTTCTGTCACCCAGGCTGGAGTGCAGTGGCACAATCATGGCTCACTGTGGCCTTGAACACCTGGACTCAAGGGATCCTCCCACCTAGCCTCAGGAGTAGCTAGGACTACAGGTGCAAGCCACGACGCCCAGCTAAAATTTGTATTTTTATTTTTTGTAGAGACAAGGTCTCGCCATGTTGCCCAGGCTGGTCTTGAACTTCTGGGCTCCAGTCATCCTCCTACCTCGACCTCCCAAAGTGCTGGGAGTATAGGCATGCATCACCCTACCCAGCTAATAACTGTTCATTCCAGATAGTCACCTTAAGGTTTATTAATAAGTTTAACAAGGAGATTATCTGGATACTTATTTTACTTTGGAGTGTTGAGTTGACTCTGAACAGTACACAGTGCCTTGGTGCCATTTTGCTAGAGGTTTTGCAGAGACCTTAGGATGTTGTTCTTGAACTCTTAGGGCCTAGTTTTCTCAATTAAAAGAGTTGGTTACTGCAAATGGTTTCTAAGGTAGTTTTCAGATCTAAAATATTGAGTTCATGGATTTCAATATAATACTCTACAGCTCTCTACAACTGCGTGGTGAGTGCCTTGTTGTAAGAATGTTAAGTGAGTTATTTCTACATTTCGGTATTTTTATATTATAATGATTCTTAATAAGTATAAATTATCAGTGGCCACAACACTTACTATAAAACATGTTCAAAACAGATGGTAGTGCTGGATGTCTCTAAGTAAAAGAACAGATGGAGCAGGAGTTTAACCCTGGAAGCTTTGAAGGGTTTGAATGACAGAACTTATTTTTTACTCTAATTTAGGGAGAATTTGGTGTGAGGATGTGGTATACTATTTCAGCTATATGAAACAGTATACATAGACAGGAAAATACTTGAGTTCCAGCAATATGGCAGACTGACGCAATGTGAGCCACTTTCCACTAAAACTTGTGAAATGCTATATAAAATATAACAATATTGCTTTAGTAAAAATCTAAAGATGAGTTAGAAGGAGAATGTCTAGTTGCAGAGTCAAGGAGGTTAACCATAGGCAGAATGTAAGTGTATGAATTAGGGCTCTGGTTCTTGGGATATTGATAATCAAATATACATCCAACAGGGAAGCCATGCCATGAGGCCCAAGACATAAAGTTAGGCCTGGAAGGGTTGCCCCTTTTTTCTTTTCTTTTCTTTTCTTTTCTTTTCTTTTTCTTTTCTTTTCTTTTCTTTTTTCTTTTCTTTTCTTTTCTTTTCTTTCCTTTCTTTCCTTTCCTTTTCCTTCCTTCCTTCCTTCCTTCCTTCCTTCCTTCCTTCCTTCCTTCCTTCCTTCCTTCCTCCCGCCCTCCCTCCCTCCCTTCCTCCCGCCCTCCCTCCCTCCCTTCCTCCCGCCCTCCCTCCCTCCCTCCCTTCCTTTCTTTCTTTCTTTCTTTTTTTTTTTGTTTTTTTTTGAGATGGAGTTTCGCTCTTTGTTGCCCAGGCTGGAGTGCAATGGCGCGATCTCGGCTCACCGCAATCTCCGCCTCCCAGGGTTGCCCCGTTCTTAAAGAACAGTTCTGGGAAAAGTTAAGAAAGCTTTTCTATAGGCAAATAAATAAACCTCTCAGGAGAAATCAAAACCTCTACTCTGAAGTCCAAATTTTTACATCCATGTTGTATATGATTCCTGAGCAGAGAAACTAATGGAATATCTGAAACCAGCAAAGTCTCTGGGGCATTCTGCAAAAGCAAATATAGAGAGTCTTCCATAAGAAGAGGGTACAAAACACCCCCTCAGGGGAGACAATCATATAATACAACAACAATAATAAAATACCAACTTAAGATGAGCTCACAATAAAAATTATAAACTACGTAAGGGAAAGTCAGCAGAAACAAAAATAACTGCCTCGTACTAAGGCAATCAAATGGTTAGTATAAAATATGTAAGTGTCAACAATATTTAAGTCAAGGGAGCGAAAATGATATTGATTTTTTTTGATTATCATTTTTTAATTTATACTTTTCTCTAGTCTCTTGAATGTTTCACCAATAACTGGCATTTATTTTATAACAAGAAAAATGTTACAAAGGTTTCTGTTTTGCAGCATTCAACATACTGATTCTTGGGGAAAGTTTCAGGTTGCTCTCAGGTCAGTGGTAACACAAATATATAAAGTTCCTATTGAATTCCATGTTTGTTTGAAATGCTGTGAGAAATCCTAATATACTGGTTCATAACAAAATTTTATTTTTATCTTCAAATAAACGTTTCACTGCTTTTTTTTTAAAAAAAAATCAGTGTTCTGGAAAAGCATCAGCAATCATGGAAATAATTACTTCCTCACTCAATACTGCATCCCAAAGACTTCTACACTTAGTCTCTGATGGCAATATGAAACATGCAGCAGTCTCAATTATCAGATGGTATCTTTATTAGTGCATTATCTTAATCTGATGATTAGGATATATGGTGATCCATTAGTATCAGAGTTTGCAGACATAAGGTAAGTAAATTGCATTCAAAAGCGAAGGGTTTTGAGCTATAAGTAATCGCATCTCTCCCCTGTATGTCTTCAGGAGTACAAATAACCTTTCTTTTTCTTAAAAAAAAAAAAAAAAAAAAAAAAAAAAACCAGCTTGGGGCCCAGAGTAGGGGCACACACAGCTTTCAGAGAAAGGAGGGGGCAGGGCTAACCAAAGGCTGCCTTCAAAGGTGGTTGAGACCCAGGGGGATTTTCATCACAGGTTTTTGGCATTGGAAGGTCTTTGAAGATTTTTGGATTTTTGCTTAACATGTGGTCTCTGAGCCTGCTGTTCTCTCTGCTGATCTGAAGCCACATAGCCCAGCATGACTCCTATATGCTTGGTTTTCTGGAGGTAAGTCCCCAAGAACCTCTCCTGTTTTTCATCCAATGATTACTTTTCTTATGGGAGGGTTGCAATTTCCCTCCCCCTCTTCCCCACCCACTACTAACTGGCATCCCAGGCTTTGAGCATCCTTATCTGTCCCTCGATTGTATCAGACAGGGAAAGCCGGAAAGGAAAAGTAGTAGGGTAGAAAGTAGCCACTAGATGGCAGAATTGATTAAGCAGAATAGTATGTTAAGGCTGTGCATTCCAGCTACAAACAGGATGGGAAGAGACGGCTCTAAGAGCTGGTGCCTCCACATTTACCCCAGTACTGTTCCTCACCCGCCCACAGGTGGTCTGGCTGATCCTGGCACACTGTCTTTACATTCCACAAGGAAGTGGTGCTTTAGGGAGTGACCTCAGAGTCTGCCAATTAGCATGTAAAACTCTTGTGACGTTGCCCCTGGAGGTTAGAGATGCCTCTGAAGGTTCTCTAGTTCAGGAAGTGGTGACCTCCCGAGCAGCATATGTCCACCCACCCAGAAAGCCAAACACCTACTCTTTAATGTCCCAAGCAGAATACTGGCATCATCTCTTTATCTTAAAATTTTAAGTTCTGTATATATTATCTACAAATTCTATATTCTATTTTGGCACACCAGCCTAACCCAAGCAACAGAAAGTGGACAGATTATCCATTCAGTTTGCAGCTCGAGTTTACAATGGCAAATTATTCATTGCATTATCAGCGACCATTAGCTTTACAGAGTACCACAAGATTGAGACAAATATGAAAAAATATGAAGAACTCAGCATTCAAATATACCTTAAGTTTTGTTCAGCTGTAATTTGAACTCATCTAACATCTGCCCACTGTATTGGCTTGCTTCATGCAGCAATCCTATTTATCAGCAGTTTTGTGCTAGTTAAAAGAAACACAGAGTATAGTTCAGGGCCTGAAGTTTAGACCAATGTCTGTCTGTGTACTGTCTACTTTTAAAAGAATACTCTGAGGCATTGTACTCCGTCAGGCTAGAGTATAATGGCATGATCACAGCTCGCTGCAGCCTCAACCTCACAGGCTCAAGCTATCCTCCCAGCTCAGCCTCTGGAGTAACTGGGACTACAGACACCCATCACCATGACCAGCCAATTTTTTCTATTTTATTTTATTTTATTTTATTTTATTTATTATTATTATTTTTTTTTTAGAGATGGGGGTCTCACTTTGTTTCCCAGGCACATCTGGGACTCCTTGTGTCCAGCAATCCTCCCACCTTGACCTCCGAATGTGTTGAGATCACAGGTGTGAGCCACCGCACCTGGCCAAGTACTGTCTGCTTTTACAGGCAGCCTTTGTGTGAACAGCCCTGGGATTCCAAGTGATGTTGAAACCCTAATAAAAAGTGACAGAATGCTTACTTTGTCAAGAATGTGCCTACATTATCTCACTTTTTTGTTTGTCAAACTTTGGACCCAGATCCTATTAGCAGCTTCATTTTTTTTGGTAAGGAAATGGAAGCATAGGGCAGTTAAGAAGTCTGCAAAAATCCCCCAGCTAGCAATGATAAAGCAGATCTGGACAACAGAATAATTCAGGACAATTTCAATCTTTCTCTGGAAGTTGTTTTTTGTTGTTGTTGTTGAATTTGAATGTTCTAAACATTACATCTCTATTTAATGGTTGCATATAGGGTCAATTTTATATTTTCCCTAATTTGTAAATAGTCACAGAACCTATCATGTTCTGAATAATGGCTCGTATAAAATATGGACTCTTCATTAATTTAATTAATTGTGACCTAGAGCATAGAGCTTATCTTTTCCAGACAAAATGATGGGGTTAGAGTGTTATAGGAAAATGAAACTCTTGTGAGTGGTTATGTGAATCAGCCTAATGATAGCCAATTGTCTTTTACTTCTTCAGTTATGTAAATTATTGGTATTATAATTTCTGTATGTGCTGATGGGATATGTTACTGAGTGATAACTGCATCATAGCTCTTACCTGTCTCCTATAACCACAACCCAGTAGCTGAAGAGGAATCAAGAACCACTGTTCTTGCTCTCTTTTTTTACCATTTTAATTTGGAATAATTTTAGATTAAGAGAAAAGTTGCAAAGATAGTACGAGAGTTCTCATTAACACTCCATTCAGCTTCTTCTCATGTCAACATGGTACATTTGTCAAAACTAAGAAATTAACTTTGGTAAAATACTATTAACTAAATTGCAGCATTTATTCAGATTTCACTAGTGTTCTCTCTCTGTTCCAGGACACAATGGTGCATGCCCTGCCCTTCCCTTTTTTATCTAATTAGTGCTGAAATGTGAGAGTATATCAGCCCCTCGATCTTTTGCTGCCTGTGTGCTTTAAAGCCCAGAGATCTAATGCAAATCTCATGAGTGCTGGGCCTAGTGGGAACCCTGCTTGTGCTGCTAGGCCAGGGACCTTTGGACGAGTGTTAGTGCCTTAGGCTCATTTCCAACTTTTCTGAGGTACCTCACTGAGCTACTACAAAAAGATACCTTTTCATCCCTTCTGTTAAAAAATAAAACAAAACAAAAATACTCCAAGCAGTACTTTGCTATTGAGGACAAGATACAAATGGATTTTAAAGGCATCTTTTATGACACTATTCCTTTTCATTATTTCTTGGTTTATCCACTAAGCGAGTCACTGCTTCTTTGGGAAGACTCATACCATCAAGTGTTTTTGATACATAAAATCCAGATTGCCTGCTTTGGCCATCTTATTTTGTTTCCTCACTAGTTTTTCAGCATCATAAGTCATTGAGTATCAACACAACAAAAACTGTTGCAATTCTCTATTGGTCATACAAAATAATTGTTAGCGCTTCTGGAAAAAGAATTTTAATATAAGTGTATAAAAGGGATCTTAACACAAAATCACTTTTAATTTCCTACGTAACAAGAGAGATCTTTACAGGCTGACAATGACTTATAAACAACACTCAAGACAGTCACTTGGGTGATATGAAGAAGTTACATTTATTATTATTATAATTTTGGTCTAAATAATGAGGCTTCCTATACATGATTGAAAAATAACTTTCTGGTTTCTCAGCTGTCAGCTGTGTGCTCAGGTTATGCCCGTGACAGTCACACAGATAGGAAGCTTATATTAAAACCAGAATCAAAGGTAGCAGGAGTAGGAATCAGCCTACGTTAACGAACCATTGAAGCCTCTCTCTGGCATGCATGAACACTAAATCACTGGTTAGATCTCTGGTGATTTCTCACTTGAGAGATGTGAAGAAAATGGCACATTCAGGGTAACAGCAAAGCCGTAGCAACTTGTCAAAATAGTATCTAACATACAGGCTTAAAATTATTCTTAAAATGATCTTGATAGAGCTACTGGAAATATTCCCACCAGGTATTTTATTCAGCAGTGACCCTTGAAGAAGCAAGTCAGTGAATGTGGAAGCATCGGGATTCATCTGATAGACTTTGTCTGGGATCGTCAACCACTTTGGTCATAGTTAACATAGTTTACATAATGAAGGGTTCTTTTACGGCTCAAGATAGAGATGAGAACTAAGTGACACAAAATTATGAGTCTTTTCTTAAATTGACTAGGTAATTACATTGACTATTCTCTCTTTTACTTTTGAATAGCTGCACTGCAGTCAAACCATCTATGACATTATTATTCAATAAATTAGACAGTACTGAGTGTTAGGCTAATTTCTGGCACAAATTAAAATACTGGTAACAGATCCTGATGCTGATTATTCCCTCTTATAATTAGAGTTTACATGATAGAAATAAAAATTTGATTTTTTTGTCCTTTGTAAGGGAGTTATACCTTCTTTTGTTTTATTTTAGAGACAGGGTCTCACTTTGTCACCCAGGCTGGAGTGCAGTGGTAGGATCTCAGCTCACTGTAGCCTTGACTTCCTAGGTTCAAGAGATGCTCCCACCTCAGCCATCCAAGTAGCTGAAACTACAGGCATGCACCACCACACCTGGCTACTTTTTGTATTTTTTTTTTTTTTTTGGTGGAGACAGGGTTTCACTATGTTGCCAAGGTTAATCTCAAACTCCTGGGCTGAAGTGATTCACCTGCCTCAGCCTCCCAAAGTGTTGAGATTACAAGCATAAGCCACTGTACCCAGCCTATACCTTAATTGAGAGTACCTTACTTTCAGTTAAGGTATAGGCTGGGTACGGTGGCTTACGCTTATAATCTTCTTTCATTTTGAAGATGCATAAATTGAGCGTCTCTTCTCTATTTGTTTAGCTAGATGCATTGTTGTTTGCAATTTAATTTGCATGTGTTCATGGGGACATTCTATGTGTTAGGTAGTATGGGAGTTTGAGATTAATGAAACTCACAGTCCTTAGAGGTTTTTTTTTTTTTTTTTTTTTGAGACTGAATCTTGCTTTGTTGCCCAGACTGGAGTGCAGTGGCACAATCTCCACTCACTGCCACCTCCGCCTCCCGGGTTCAAGCAATTCTCCTGCCTCTCCTTCTCCCAAGTAGCCAAGTAGCTAGGATTACAGGTGTGTGCCACCACACCCAGCTAATTTTTGTATTTTTAGTAGATACTGGGTTTCACCATGTTGGCCAGACTGGTCTCGAACTCCTGACCTCATGATCCACCTGCCTTGGCCTCCCAAAGTGCTGGGGTTACAGGTGTGGGAGTTGAAGGAAGAAGGAAGCGGATAAGTGGGAGGAAAACTAAAGAAAACAGAGCAGAATAAAAAAATATATATAATGTCAGTTTTTATTCTGCTAAAATATAATCTAGATTATGTAGTTTGTGTTTCCATATTCAACAGCAGTGTTTCTGAATCATAGAAGTCTCATGTTTAGAAGAGTAAAACATTTTATTAAGATTTGGATTAGATGATAACTAACTTTGCTACCAGCTGTGTGATTCCAGTGTCAGATCTTAACAAAGGTAGAGAGTTTTTCTTACTTTTCATCTGATAATTATAAAATTAAAATAAATATCAAAATGTTTCCAGATATGTCAGAAAGCTGAAGGGTTTCATGAGCCTAGATGGTTTCTGTTATCCGCAAAAATAGATTTTTAATTAATCCATGGCCCAAGATGTTGGTTTAGTTGTGTTCTCCTTCATTTTAGTTCAGAATCTGGAGAGGATACAAAATTCAATAGATTTTTCTTTTTCCCCCCCCAGCATAGGAACTACAGAGTAAGGATAGCTCTGCAGGTATATGTAAAAGCTAATTCTATGAGGAGCCAAAGACAGGGTTTCAGAAAGTCCAGTTTAAGACACGAGAGAGAGATGAACGATGTGCCTCCAGAAGTATGCATAGTCCACAGAACAAATTATGTAGATCAGTTGAACTGGTGAGGAGATAAACACTTTTGGCTAGTTAAGACTTCATGGAAGACGTGGGATCTCCATAAGACTTGGAAGAACAAGTTGCTTTTAGAAAGTGTGGGAGAAGGTCCAGGTGCTGTGGCTCATGCCTATAATCCCAGCACTTTGGCAGGCCGAGGCAGGAGGATCACTTGAAATCAGGAGTTAGAGATCAGCCTGGCTAACATGGTGAAACCCCATCTCTACTAAAAATACAAAAATTAGCCGGGCGTGGTGGTGCGTGCCTGTAGCCCCAGCTACTTGAGAGGTGGAGGCTGCAGTGAGCTGAGATCGCACCACTGCACTCCAGCCTGGGTAACAGAGCAAGACCCTCTTTCAAAAAAAGAAAAGAAAAGTGAAAAAGTGTGAGAGAAGAAGCAAAGTACATATAAAAGGAAATATGATGAGAATAAAATTCCAGTTACACAACTGTAAGATGTTTCTGGGAAATAACAGTAGACCTATTTCATATGGATACACAGGGAGATAAAATTACAAAAATGAGGACAGATCTTTGATGCTGTGCTAAAGAATTTAGACTTGGTCTTGAAAGCAACAGGAAGATACCCTCAGGCCCTGAGCATAGGGATGACATGATTGAAGTACTATTTTAGAAGGTTTACCTAGGAATAAACATGAAGAGGTTGATATAGGGAGTTATTGGAGGCAGAATGACCAACTGAAAAGTTTTTTACAGCAGTCCAACTGTGTAACTAAAGGGCCTAAAATAGAGTAGGGAAAGTGGAAATATACGGAAAGAATAAAATGTGAAAGACAATTCAAAGCTGAAATTGGCAGGACAGGACTTCATGCCTAATTGGATTCAGATAACCAGGTAGGGAAGAGGTGAAAATGTATGAATGTTCTGAGTCTCTAAGACTGTGATAATAATGATAAAATTAGTCCAAACTGAGAGCAGGGATTGAGTCCCTAAGACTATGATAATAGTGATAAAATTAGTCCAAACTGAGAGAAGGGATACCTGTATTCCTGGGCTGTTGTGAGAATTAAATAAAAAAACATAAAAGCTGTTTTAAAATTTCTGAATTATATGAAGATATGGCCTGATTAGAGAAGAGAAAGTCTAAATAACAACCAATAGGGTAAGAATGAGATAAATTTTGTATGAGGAATCTTGGGTTTATGGTTATCCAAGTAGAGATGGTCAAAGTGCCATTCTCAATGATCACCATTGCCATAAACAGAGGAATCTATTAGGATAAAAAGAGACCAGCACAGAATCAGTTGTAGGTGTTACCAGAAACATGACCCACATGGCCACCTCCATTTGGTAGTGTTTAAGTAAGTAAAGAAGGTAGCAAGGCATCACACCAGGAGAAATAAAGGATATTTTTTGAGTGTGTATGCAATGTGCCAAGTGCTTTTACTCACACATTTTATTTTAACACACTCATTATGTTGGGTGGTAGAAGCCTCACTTTAGAGATGAGAAACATGGCAATCAGATTTTAACTATATCTCCATTAATAAACAGTGAAGCTGTTTTTCTGATTTCAAGACAAGTGTCTTTTAACTAGACCATCTATACTTTAGTCTTGGCATGGACACATACCAGGATGACTCAACTTGGGTGACATAACCCCTGTGAACCTTGGTTCCTACTGTAAGATGGGAAGGATCATATTTAACTTATGTAGTTGCTGTAAGGGTAAAATAATGTGAAAGAGTTGTGAAAATTGATAAGTACGGGACAATATAACATTATTATTAGTGTGTAGTGATAAGTTTAATTTAAACACATGATTGTACAACTCTGCTTGGAAGAAGTTGCTGTGAAACTATTAAAGTATGGCTGACATTCTCCAACCATCTGACTTAAAATTTCCAAAATTAATTTTCACTGGGCAATGCCTCTGAAATATATCTTTTCCTTGATTTATTTATATAGAACAACAGAATTATCTGTTCTAGTTAGATAAAAATTTCTAAGAATCATTTAAAATTTACTCTGAAATTCCTTACTCTCTAATCTTAAAAGTCCTTGAATATATTAGTTTAACGTAGCTCTTTCATTAGTACACCACTTCCATACTGAACTGATGACAATGCTTATTTTAAAGCTTTTGTAATGCTTAAAAACATGCCTAGATCTTCAAAATTATGGTCACCATTTTGTTCTGTAATATTGTGTTTGTCTTCTATGAAAACCTGCCACATTCAATAGCCATATGTATGTTAATGAAAGAATAATAATGACAACTAATAGAACACAAGATGTGTCAGTGTACGACTATCAGAGCAAAATCAAAACAAAACTGCATAAAGACATTATGAATCTGGATCTGAAGCTTCTTGGTTCTTAACTAGTTTTATGTTAATGAAACAATTATTAGAACACACAAAACCCTTCCTTTTTAATTTGATAAATTGAGTGGTGATGTGAGTTAATTGAACCATCGGTGTGATAATAAGATGCAACTGGTATGATTTATCAGAGGATGACATGGTTACAGGCATTGCTTCCACAGAAAATAATGGCTGTTATTACCACTTCCTGAGGTGAGCAGGCAAGCCATAAACCTAGCTTATTGCTACACAGGTCAGAGGATGAGGGGTCCATTTTGCCTTTTGTCTTAGTGGATCCTTTAAGGCTGTCTCTTAATAATTTGGAAAATATTTTTCCATATTCCACAAACAATATCAATACTGACTTTGTTTAGGCTATTCTATAATCTTAACCTATTTAGCTAAGTATTAAAGTGAAAAACCCCTAGATCTCCAAGAGCTTTGAGTTCTAATGTTAGTAATTAAGGGGTCACCTTGGGTCTTCTTTTTCAAGTTGCATTATCTTGTAGAGATATTTTCGCAAGTGGTTATTCTAGTGGAATAATCCTCCAGGGCTCTGCCGCTTGAGAAGTAAGTCCTGTGCTTTTTCATATATGATTCAGAGAGAATATTACATGCTACTCATCTTCTGGTGGAAGAGAAAGAAATAAGTGATCACAAAGCCCTTTGGTTTGCAAAGAAAACATTTGAATTTACAATGTTATATTTCTTTGTATCCCAATGACTTCAAAGTAAATAAAAAGTAAATCAATGTCACTGGATCCATGAAATATATGTATCTGGACATGGGATCTATTTCTGCCACATAGTGATATTAGGAAAAACACTTGCCATATGTTCATACTATGAAAAATTAATCCAAGATCTTGGAAAGAGCTTGTGCCTATGCTGAAAAGGTTATATCTTAAAATACTAATAAAATCTTCATTCTTCATTAATCTTTTATTCATTTATTGGATTTCTCATTTTTAACCTCCATTTGTACATTTTTCAAGCTTTTTTATACACACAGCCACATATGTTCATTTAATTCTTAAAACCATTCTGAAGTTGACATGTCATCATATAATTTATTATAGAAAATGAGGAGCTCTTGAAAAGAGGAAGGTCTTGTTAATTAATCCGAGACAACAAGTATAAGCCAGGACTTCTCTGAGATCAGAGAATACAGTCACTCTAGGTAAGAAATTCATCAAAATTTTAAAAATTCACCAAAGAAATACAGTGGGAAAGTGACAGAGCCAGAATTTGGTTCCATGCTTTTAGGACCTAACATTTTCTAACAGTCCTTCCCAACAGATTTTGGGATTTCCTGATTTACTAATTTGAAATGATTAGAGGGAGAGAAGTCAGGGATCCCGGCCTGCAAAAATATTAATGCAAAGTAGATACTATGTCTTATATATCTTCAGGTATTTAACTTGAAACCCACCTGGTCTTCAGTGAACATTTGTGCATCTCAACCAAATCATACCACTTGACACTTCACCATTTTGGATATATTCCTTTAGATGGTAAGGAGCTTTCTGTTTTCAAAAGTCAATGAATAGAAAAACAATATACCCCCCCACACACACATATATTTTATATATCTATATATCTATACTCATACACTCAGATCAGCCCTTCCTTCATTGTCTGTTAATCTTGGTTTGCAAAAATCTGCACATAAATTTTACGAAAAAATGATGACTGTCAGATATTTTCTAGGCTCAGAAGAGAACAGAATCACACTGTTTTGGGAGATAGGAAAAGGGCAACAGCTTTGGTCTATTTAACCATTCTTCAAATAGTTATTATGCCAGTTTTAACCTTGTCCATTTTCACACCTTTACTGGCTGCACAGACAATGCTAATTGGAAACATTTTGTTTGTAGGACCTTCTGGTCTAGGTGGAAATTTTAATTTGTTTAACCACACTTAATTATGAAATACATCATCTACAAATTTGTAGCTGCTAAGAGGAATGGCCTAATGAGAGGATATGGACCATATTAAGGAAAAGAAATCAGACATTGTAATCGTGATACGCTGAATAGAACCCTAGATCTACCATTAAATACCTATGTGACTTTAGTTGAGTAACTTCATTCTCTGGGCCTCAGATTCCCTATCTGTAAAGTAGGCTAATTAGGTTAGCTGGTACAGCATTTAAAACATAGTTTTACTATGCTATTGTTTTGTAAACCAGAAAACTTGGTGATGCAATATAATTTCCAATGATAAGACATGAGGAAATTTCCACAGCTTCCATTTTTTTCATCCTTTTATCTTTAGCACAAGTCACCTGAACACTGAATGCTTTCCCTTTTCTAAAAGAAAGAAAAAAGAAAGTCTCAAACATTAATTTTCCATATTGCTACCATATTAATAAGAGCTATAAATAAAGATTAAATTTAAGAAGAATTACAGCATGGAAAAATCTCCACTTCCCTACATATTTAAATATTAGGAAGTATTTCTGGAGATTTTGCTACATCATTAGGTTATCAAGATGACACATTTCCGTTTAATATTTAATTATATTATCTCTCAGTTGTTCACTCACTCCCTTTCCTGTTCCCTAATGATTTGCTTTTAAATCTAACTTGCCACACTTTCCAGCTGTGGTACACTGGATGTGTTTCTTATCTTTTCTGAGCTTGTTTATGCATCTGCAAAATGGGAATGATGACATCTCCACTTTATCTTAGAAGAAAGTGGTATAATTCCATTTTAATGCTGGATGTAAATAAAGACTTTTGACCATCTTTTAAAAAATTAGATAGCCACAACTCAGTAGCCCATTGTTTATGAGTCAGATCTTAGCTATGTATTTCCATGTTACCTCATCCTGGAGTGCTCCAAAGAATGTTGCTCTTGGATATTTCCAGGAACAATAGCCATCATAAAGGACTTGAGAAGTGAGGTCCTGAAATGTTGAAAGATTTTCTACCCATGTTTTACAGAAGGCATGCTTTATAGATTACAACAATTATCTCTTATTACCCATGGTTTTTTTTTTTTCACAACAGGACAGGGGCTGCAGAAACACAGGTTAAAACTCCAATTTCCTTATATCATATTTAGCTTGAGCCATATTTGTTGTCCTAAAAAATGTGGTTTATCTATAAATATCTTCTTATATTTTGGTTAAATAAATACATGTAAGAGTAATTTTTGAGAAGCAATTTAGCTTTGTTTCTGGCACAATTAGTAGTCAACACTGAAGTACATCTTTTTGGATTGTGACAATAGAGTTTCCCATGTTGTGGTAGAATTGTACTCTTATTACACAAAATAAAGAGTAAGGAGCAAGAAATTGTAAAATTCTAAAGGGGAAAAGAGATTATCCTCTATTCGTTTTCTGTCTCCCACAAATACAGTGGGAGAGACTTCAGTGCTTAGAGACTTACAGATTTTTGGTATTTCAAATAAGAAAGCTCAGAGGACATAAAACCATTTTTTGTTTGGTGGCAAATTTTAATACTGTGACATTAGTATTTACACTTAACATAGATAAACCTTTCCAATTCTTAAAATCTTTGAAATCAGAGAACACTTAAGACACCCAATTCTTTAGACTGAAGATGATTTGATTACCTCTCAAGATAGAAGACTGGAAGGCAATATGCTTAACACAAAGTTGATCATCTGTATTTCTTACCAGCAAGTCAAAGAAGTTTAAGTAAAGATGAAGAAATACAGACATTCATAATTTAGTTTCAATACAATGCAGAACCATTTTGTCAGTATTCAATCAATATTCATGAAAAAAGTGGGCGTGGCACATGACAGGAGATACAAAAATGGTTGCTACAATTATTATCTGGCATCCTCTAAAGGCCTATTTTAAGAATGCAACCATGATTGTCATTAATAGAACAAATAGTGAAAAATCATACTGTTATCTGCTGGAACACCTATACTTCTCCACTGTCTGCAAATACTATCAGCAAGTTCTTTGTATCAAATAATTTCTATTGAAATCAGGCTAACAATGTGATGTTAAGTACCAGTGCGGTAAGACTGATGTGATTTGAGCACTATGTCGGTCGAATGGTGCCAGGAACAGCCTCTAAGCAAATACATTAAATCATGAAATGGACGAAAGCATCCTTCTGTCTTCATGAGCCCACATTCAGGCAGTTGATATTCTGGCTTCCACCTAGAAATTTATATTCATCAATCAGTCTGGGCTTACTGGGAATGTGAGAGGTACAGCTAGTTGTGTTATGTTGTATTGATAATATTTTGTGTGATTTGTTCCATATCTCTAGTGGTCTGGGGGGAGATTATGTTTCCAGCCTTTTAGTACACATAAGAGGACATGAAATAAATTGTTGACTCTATTGCACTGTCAGCAAGGGCTACAGACCAGCAATCTGACTTCTAAAGGTTGAGGTTATTCACCAGTCTGCTCTAGAGAAACCCTATACCTGCTTACAGATCCCTAAAGCTGATACAGGGTTCAAAGCTCCAAAAGAATGTTTCTATATTGCAATGTGATCTATAATAATATATACGCCAGACTATAAACTAGAAAATAAGATTTAGGCAGTAGTGTAAACTAGAAAGTGCTGGAAACAGCAACAAAATTTGTCAAACTTGTTAATTTGAAATGCAAGTCATATTCTCCACATTATTTAACATTTCTTCTTTTAATTACGAGAAATATGAGATTAAAATTCAATTAGAATGCATAGTAGACAAACAGACCAATGAAAAATCACAAGAGAAGTTAAATATATAGACCCAAATACACAGGGGAATTTAGGTTATAATAAAGGTGGCAATTCCAATCAATAAAGTAAAGATGGGCCATTCTATATAATTAATGCCATTAGAGCAAATGGTAACCATTCAGAAAAAAAGACAAAATTGGATCCTTAACTAAACAAGATGTTGTACATCCAGAGAAATAAATAATTTAAATGTGAAAGGTGAAACCATAAAAGTACTAGAAGACTTTTTAATAATAGCCATTCTGACTGGTATTAGATGGTATCTCATTGTGGTTTTGATTTGCATTTCTCTAATGATCAGTGATGTTGACCTTTTTTTCATATGATTGTTGGCCACATGTATGTTTTCTCTTGAAAAATGGTCTGTTTATGTCTTTTGCTCACATTTTCTTGGGGACACAAGTTTACTTATGTAGCAAACCTGCACCTGTACCCCTTGTGATGGTTAATACTGAGTGTCAACTTGATTGGATTGAAGGATACAAAGTATTGATCCTGGGTGTGTCTGTGAGGGTGTTGCCAAAAGAGATTATCATTTGAGTCAGCGGGCACAATCTAATCAGCTGCCAGTGAACTTAAAGCAGGCAGAAAAACGTGAAAAAAGAGAGACTGGCCTAGCCTCCTGACCTACATCTTTCTCCCATGCTGGATACTTCCTGCCCTTGAACAGCTGACTCCAAGTTCTTCAGTTTTGGGATATATATATATATATATCTCCTATTAGTTCTGTCCCTCTAGAGAACCCTGGGTAATACATCCATGAGCTTAAAATAAAAGTGAAAAAAAGAAGAGCTAGAAGAAAATATGGGTTTATTCTTTCATAATTTTGGACTGGAAAAAACAAGTTTTCTAACTATGACCCAAAATCTAGAAGCATAAAAGAAAGAATTGGCAACTTCTAGCATGTAAAACTAAAACATATGTCCCCAAGACAAAAACAAGACAAAACTAAAAATTAACCATATGGAAAGTTAAAAGACAAATGTCAAATTAGTGAAACATCTGCAACTTATAATAGATAAAAAGGTCAATCTTTATTATACGCAAAGAGCTACTGTAAATTGATATAAAATAAACCAATAATCCAATCGAATTGTTCAATGCTTATTTTTATGAGCTAGACAGTTCATAGAAAAAGGAATGCAAATGGCATTACAATATGAAAAGAACCATTAGTCATAATAAAAGATATGCAAAATGAAACTAGATATCTTTCCTCACCTATTATATTGGCAGAAAATACTTTTTTAAAAAGTTGTTGATATGTTTTATTGATGAGACCATGGAGAAACAAACACTGTTAGACTTTTATGGAAAGAGTATAGGATTGTGCAACCCTTATGAAGTAGAAGTAAGCAATAGCTATCAAAATTACCTCCAGGTAATTTCTTTTTTATTAAAATAAAATATCCTTCCACTAATTGTTTTACTGCACTGTTCTCAATCGTTCTGTTCTCTGTAATATCATACACAATCTCATCTAGCTATGAAGTGGTGGCATCTGGCTTTAAACCTGTGCAGCCAGCATGCACCAGTAATCACTATGCCCATATAGCCTCCAGGAATTGATATCTGCATTGGATGTCCCAACTTCATCTTAGTATCAAGTTTGCAGACCCAGAGTGGACGAAACTAGACATGAAAACCTCTTTGATGTATTGCTTTCAAACATGAATTTATTTTTTTCTGGATATGTTACATATTACCTTGTTATCTCTCATTTCAAAAAATGTTTCAAGTGTATGGGTCATTTGTATTTAGTTAGCTATAGATGTATCTGGATGTCTAGTATAACATGGAATCCTTTAAGGTACAGCATTTATTTAAATTTTCATGGCACTTTATTATTAGCTTTCTTATAAGGACTTCTCAACATGTGTTCATAAAGAAATAAATGAAAGCATGGCCTAATCTTAAGGGTTTTTCTACCTTCTACAGTTCTCAAGCTCTTCTTTCGCTTCAGAAGAAGACCAAATTTACATTCACTAATGGTTAAAATGAAATGGGCAGCTGACTGAGAACTCCCTGTGTAATATTTTTGAAACGTGTCTAAGATACAATCATATAAAATAAGACTGCTATAAATTTGTGTAAAATACCTCTAACTCAACAATCTATGGAATGATCTACTCATTACTTCTTGCATAACAAGTACTCAAAGCATTAGCATATTTTATTAGATTATCTTCAAAATATTTTCATCTTAAGCCATGTTAATATACATCTCTAAAATTCTTAAATTTTAAACATAAGACCTCAGTGTATAAGAATCCTAAAAGAAAATCTAGAAAATGCCATTCTAGACATTGGCCTTGGAAAAGACATTATGACTAAGTACTCAAAAGCAACTTTAATGAAAACAAAAATTGACAAGTGGGACCTTTAAAGAGCTCCTTCATAGCGAAAGAAACTATCAACAGAGTAAACAAAATACCTAAAGAGTGGGAGAAAATATTCCCAAACTATACATCTGACAAAGGTCTAATATCGACAATTTATAACGAACTTCAACAACTGAACAAGCAAAACACAACCCATTTAACAAATGGGCAAAAGACATGACCAGACACTTCTGAAAAGAAGACATACAAGTTGTCAACAAACAGATGAAAAACTGTTCCACATCACTACTCACCAGAGAGATGAAAGTCAAAACCACAATGAGATCCCATCTCACACCAGTCAGAATGACTGTTATTAAAATTCAAAAAACAACAGATGTTAGACTATGGAGAAAGAGGAATGCTTACACACTGTTAATGGGAATGCAAATTAGTTCAAGCACTGTGGAAAGAAGTTTGAATATTTCTCAAAAAACTCAAAATAGAACTACCATTCAACCCAGCAATTCCATTACTGGTTATATACCCAAAAGAAAATAAATCAGTCTACAAAAAAGACACATGCACTGATATGTTCATCGCAGTACTATTCACAATAGCAAAGATGTGGAGTCAACCTAGGTGCCCATCAACAGTGGTTTGGATAAAGAAATTGTGGTACATATACACCATGGAATACTATGCAGCCATAAAAAAGAACAAAATCATGTCCTTTGCAACAACATGAATGCAGTTGAGGGCCATTATCCTAAGTGAATTAATGCAGGAACAGAAAATCAAATACTGCATGTTCTCACTTATAAGTGGATATAAATATAGGGTACTTATGGACATAAAGATGGCAACAATAGACACTGGGAATTACTAGAGTGGGGAGAAGAGAAGGTAAGTGTTGAAAAGCTAGCTTTTGGTTACTATGCTCAGTACATTAGTGATGGGATCATTTGTACACCAAACCTCAGCATCATGTAATATACCCAGGTAACAAACCTGTACATATACACCCTGAATCTAAAACAAAAGCTGAAAAAGAATATAAAGTAAAACTCTTAAATTCTGTGTATTAGGCCATTCTTTTTTTTTTTTTTAGGTTTACTGTTTACTATGGGCACAGTTTGTGGCACCCCAAAAGAATCCAATAGTAACATCAAAGATCGCTGATTACAGATCACAATAACAGATATAATAAAAAAGAAAAACTTTGAAATAATGCAAGAATTATATGAAAATTGTCATAGAGACATGAAGTGAGCACATGCTATAGGAAATATGGCACTGATACATGTGTTCCACATAGAGTTTCCACAAACTCTTTTTTTTTCATTTTTTTTCATTGTTTTTCTTTTTAATTATTATTATACTTTTAAGTTTTAGGGTACAAGTGCACAATGTGCAGGTTAGTTACATATGTATACATGTGCCATGCTGGTGCGCTGCACCCAATAACTCGTCATCTAGCATTAGGTATATCTCCCAATGCTATCCCTCCCCCCTACCCCCACCCCACAACAGTCCCCAGAGTGTGATGTTCCCCTTCCTGTGTCCATGTGTTCTCATTGTTCAATTCCCACCTATGAGTGAGAATATGCAGTGTTTGGTTTTTTGTTCTTGTGATAGTTTACTGAGAATGATGATTTCCAATTTCATCCATGTCCCTAAAAAGGACATGAACTCATCATTTTTTATGGCTGCATAGTATTCCATGGTGTATATGTGCCACATTTTCTTAATCCAGTCTATCATTGTTGGACATTTGGGTTGGTTCCAAGTCTTTGCTATTGTGAATAATGCCGCAATAAACATACGTGTGCATGTGTCTTTATAGCAGCATGATTTATAGTCCTTTGGGTATATACCCAGTAATGGGATGGCTGGGTCAAATGGTATTTCTAGTTCTAGATCCCTGAGGAATCGCCACACTGACTTCCACAATGGTTGAACTAGTTTACAGTCCCACCAACAGTGTAAAAGTGTTCCTATTTCTCCACATCCTCTCCAGCACCTGTTGTTTCCTGACTTTTTAATGATTGCCATTCTAACTGGTGTGAAATGGTATCTCATTGTGGTTTTGATTTGCATTTCTCTGATGGGCATTAGGCCATTCTTGCATTGCTAAAGAAATACTTGAGACTGGATAATTTATAAAGAAAAGCGGTTTAATTGGCTCACAGTTTTGCAGGCTATACAGGAAGCATAGCTTTGGCATCAGCTTCCTGGGAGGCACATCAGGAAGCTCATAGTCATAATGGAAGCTGAAACAGGAACAGGCACTTAACATGGCAGAAGCAGGAGCAAGAAGGCGGTGGGTGGATGGTGGCTCCCATACACCAAGCCTTGAGGGATTTGCCCCCATGATCCTAACACCTCCCATCAGGCCCAGCCTCCAGCATTAGGGATTACAATTTGACATTAGATTTGGGCAGGGACAAATATCCAAACTATGTCACTATAAATTTTCAGTTTAAATATTTTTTTCCAGATTATCTTATTTTTAACAGGTACTACACCTCATGCTCTTACCTGTTTTGTTTCTAGTCTTCCTCACCTCTCTAGGAAATGTTAATTAAAGGAGATTTTTCATTAGTTCCAAAGTGTTTTTATGCATGTTTTCCTATGATATATTATCCCTCTTTGTTTTCATATACCACAGGTAGCATGCTACTGGTTTGGTCTTGCTTTTTTAGTTAACAGTGCCTCCTTGTATCTCTCCCATTCTGTATATGGAGATATCCCTACCTCTTCTTTACAGCTCCATAGTATTCCAATTTGTAAATGCTACATAGTTTCCTGGCTTGTTTCCAATTGTTTGCTATTATGAGCAAAGACACTTTCCAAATGGCAGTGGGGACTAAGGCTGGACAACAGAGAATAGTAACTCTAGACATGATCCACGTGCAGAAACAGATTTTTACACATGAGAACGATCATATTGTCTAAAAATAATTGGCTGAAAAAGACAACACCCCACTGGAGAAGGAGGAAAATGGCTGACCTGCCTAGATTCAAAAACCATTGGCTTATTTCTCCTCTGCCTCTAGTAAAACCATACCTCAATGTCTGCTCTATAAATCCATGTAAACTTAAAAACAGATAATTTTAAAGAAAGACTGCAATGAACATAAAAAATATTAGGATGATTAAAAAGACCAGAAGTTTTGACTAGTAGAAACGATTTTATTTATACCATTAGAAAAATAAGTATCTAATGTAGGTGGAGGTGCAGGCAACAGAAGATGATACAGTTAATGGATTTTGAATGTGTCACCACTATTTATAAGAATTTTCAAAAGATAGCTTACCTGGAGTTTGAAGTTTATTAAATTCAACTCAGGGAATACTTATGAAATACCTACTACTCAGTGTACAAACTTATGTGCTATGGAGAAAATATGAAAATGATAAATGACATGACATGGTCCCTTTTGTCAGTGCAATGTAATCAAGACAGAGAAACAGAATTGAACAATTAATAAGGCAATATGACATGAGAAACAGTGTTACAGAGTATGAAGGAAACAATCAGGAAGAAGCAATTATGCCATACAGAGAATCAAAAAGACTTCACAGAGAATTTGGCAAATGAGCTTGTCCATGAGAAATAATTGGCATCCCAGAGGCTAAAAAACTGGAAAAGGATCTTCTAGGTTGAAGAAGAAAATGTGTCAATGAAGAAAATGTTGCATGTTTGAGGTCTAGGAATAACCTAGAATGGCAGAAATGAGGGATATGAGAAAGAATAAGAAATTAGTATGGACGTAAGTTGCAACCAGATCATGGACAGCCATGCCTACATGGGGTTTGGAAACAATTTCAGGACCAGAATTCAACCTTGTTGTTGAACTTCATTGAGGAGAAGCATAATTAGCTTTAGCTCTCTGGAACTAGTGCAAAGGTGAAATGGTTGGGTACCATGGTGGCCAGGCCAGAAGGCCATTAAAGACCCAAATTTTAAATTAAAACAGTGGATATGTGGCTGAGCATTGTGGCTCATGCCTGTAATCCTAGCACTTTGGGAGGCTGAGTATCACTTGAGAGGATCCCTTGAGGTCAGGAGTTCAAGACCAGCCTGGCCAACATGATGAAACCCTGTTTCTACTAAAAATACAAAATTGGCTGGGCGTGGTGGCACGTGCCTGTGATTCCAGTTACTCTGGAGACTGAGGTGGGAGAATCCCTTGAGCCTGGGAGGTAGAGGTTGCAGTGAGCAGAGATCGCGCTGCTGCATTCCAGGCTGGACAACAGAGCGAGACTCCGTCTCAAAAAAATATAAAAATAAATAAATAAACTGTGGATATGGAAAGGATAAATTAAATATTCAACAAAATAATAACTCTTCCTTCAAATTTAATCTCAATATACAGCTTTCAGTTTTTAAGAAAAATCTCCAGTTTTATGAATTGAATTTTATGTTCTATGATGGCAAAAATGGTTATTTCACATTTATATGCTTGGCATATGGTAGATGCTTAATGAATATTTATCATAAAGCTTGATTGGCTTTATTAATCGTGACATTTCCTTTATTTAAATTTATTTAAATAATGGGTACCTTTGAGAAAATACTAAATTTTATGGGAGGATTGAGGATTTCAGTAAGTATAGTGTTTTAGCCCTAGACCAGATGTCAGCAAACTTCTTCTGAAAAGGGCCAGATGATAAATATCTGAGGTTGTGTTGGCCGTACGGTCTCTGTCACAAATACTCATCTCTGTCATTACAGTGTAAAAGCAGCTTTAAATTATTTGGCTGTATTCCAATAAAACTTTTTTTACAAACATATATAGTGAGCCAGATTTGGCTCACGGGCCACAGTTTATCAATCCTTGCCCTAGACCAAACAGAGGATAGCCATCTCATCTACAAGTAAAGGGTTGAAATTTTAATATATTTAGTTTTTGAAATAACACAATTCTTCATGTTATGTTATTCTATGTTGCTGCAACTCACATTTATTAAAGTATAATTTAATAAAATTTATCTTTTTAGTTTAAATTCAGTTAAGTTTTGACAAATACACATAGTTGTGTAAACACTACCACAGTTAGAATATAGAACAATTCCATATTTACCAAATTTCTCCCATGCTTCTTAGTAGTTAGCCCTTTCTCCCAACTCCCAGTTCCTGCCAACCATTGATCTGTTTTTTGTACCTTTGTTTTGCCTTTCCAAGAATGCCATATAAATGAAGTAATAAATTATGTAGCCTTTTGAGCCTGGCTTCTTTCATTTAGCATAATGGATTTGAGATTTGTCCAAGATATTTTCTGTATCAGTAGCTTCTACCTCTTTATTGCATGGAATTTTTTTCAAATTTGTTTATTCATTCATCAATTAAAGCCTATTTGGATTATTACCATTGTTTGGGGGCAATTAACAATAAAGCCATTATAAACACTATGTAAGGCTCTTATTTAAATATAAGTTTGCATTTCTCTTGAGTAAATAAGAGTGGGATTTCTGGGTTGAATGGTAAGTGTGTGTTTAACTTTATTTTTTTTATTTTTTATTTTTTATTATACTTTAAGTTTTAGGGTACATGTGCACAACGTGCAGGTTTGTTACATATGTATACATGTGCCACGTTGGTGTGCTGCACCCATTAACTCGTCATTTAACATTAGGTATATCTCCTAATGCTATCCCTCCGCTTTCCCCCCACCCCACAACAGGCCCTGGTGTGTGATGTTCCCCTTCCTGTGTTCATGTGTTCTCATTGTTCAATTCCCACCTATGAGGGAGAACATGCAGTGTTTGGTTTTTTTGTCCTTGCGATAGTTTGCTGAGAATGATGGTTTCCAGCTTCATCCATGTCCCTACAAAGGACATGAACTCATCCTTTTTTATGGCTGCATAGTATTCCATAGTGTATATGTGCCACATTTTCTTAATCCAGTCTATCATTGTTGGACATTTGCATTGGTTCCAAGTCTTTGCTATTGTGAATAGTGCCGCAATAAACATACGTGTGCAAGTGCCTTTATAGCAGCATGTTTTATAATCCTTTGGGTATATACCCAGTAATGGGATGGCTGGGTCAAATGGTATTTCTAGTTCTAGATCCCTGAGGAATCGCCACACTGACTTCCACAATGGTTGAACTAGTTTACAGTCCCACCAACAGTGTAAAAGTGTTCCTATTTCTCCACATCCTCTCCAGCACCAGTTGTTTCCTGACTTTTTAATGATCGCCATTCTAACTGGTGTGAGATGGTATCTCATTGCGGTTTTGATTTGCATTTATCTGATGGCCAGTGATGATGAGCATTTTCTTGTGTGTCTTTTGGCTGCATAAATGTCTTCTTTTGAGAAGTGTCTGTTCATATCCTTTGCCCACTTTTTGATGGGGTTGTTTTTTTCTTGTAAATTTGTTTGAGTTCGTTGTAGATTCTGGATATTAGCCCTTTGTCAGATGAGTAGATTGCGAAAATTTTCTCCCATTTTGTAGGTTGCCTGTTCACTCTGATGGTAGTTTCTTTTGCTGTGCAGAAGCTCTTTAGTTTAATTAGATCCCATTTGTCAATTTTGGCTTTTGTTGCCATTGCTTTTGGTGTTTCAGACATGAAGTCCTTGCCCATGCCTATGTCCTGAATGGTATTGCCTAGGTTTTCTTCTAGGGTTTTTATGGTTTTAGGTCTAACGTTTAAGTCTTTAATCCATCTTGAATTAATTTTTGTATAAGGTGTAAGGAAGGGATCCAGTTTCAGCTTTCTATATATGTGTGTGTTTAACTTTATAAGCAACAGTACAATTGAAATTTTGCCAGTAGAGTAATGAGAGTTTCAGTTGCTTCACATCCTCCCAGCATTTGCTATTGTCAGTTTCTTTTAGCTTTACCCTTTTCAGTAGCAGGATAATAGTATTTCATTGGGGTTTTAATTTGAATTTCTCTAATGCGTAATGATGTTGAATGTATTTTCATATGCTTATTTGCTGTTCATTTATCTTTTCTGGTGAAGTGTTCAGACCTTCTGCCTCTTTATAAAGTGCTTTTTTAAACTGTTGACTTTTCAGAGTTGTTTGTATATTTTAGATGCAAGGCCTTTATCGGTTATGTGTTATGCAATTATTTCCTCCAAGTCTGTGGCTTGTCTTTTCATTTTCTTAACAATATTTCAAACTATTATATTTTTGAATGTTAACAGCACTAGTATTACAATTAGTTTTTAATGTTCTATGTTTTTAAAAGAAGAATCAACTAATGAGAATAGTAAAACCTTTTCTTTGATGGACAATTTTAAAATGATACTCATGAATATTATAATACGAAATAGGATTTTTTTATCATGCCACAGCTTTATCTTCAATCTGAACCTTAGTCATGACAATAAATGCTAGACTCACAGATATTCTCTGTCATATATTTAATTTTGAAGAACTTTAAATCTTGGAGAAGTGACAAAGGAAACTGACACATCTATGAAATAGGACATCAGTCTGCCTGCCTGGGCTTTCTAAGCACAGTAAAAGGGAACATTTTCAAATAGTAAGCTGTCTCTTTTATTTATTGATCTTCAGCTAGAAATAAAGCTATAGTAAAATGCTCTCTCCATATCTTTCTCACTGTATGAAAACAGGGTTACAGATCAATTGATTTACCATCACAATTGATTAGGTACCTTCCCTACTATCTCTATTGTGACACGAGACATGCAGTCATATAGATCTTTCATTAGGAAAGTCATTGAAAAGCTAAGGTTCATTGCATGCTTAAATGGTTTGTAGCCCACTCATTAAGCCATTAACTATCCATTAATATTGCTTAACCTCAAACATTAAAGATAAAATAAGTTACTGCCATTTTATCTTCCAAGTGCACCTTTGCAAAGTGAACAAGTACATGATTTTGTTAGAATTGGACTTAGATATTCAGACTTGCCAAGGAATTCAGGTACTGAAGCAATTAACACTAATAAAATTTATATGTGTATTCCGTTAGTTGCATACCGCAAAGCATAAAAAGTGGAAACATAACACAGATATATTGCTTAAAATTACTTTTTCTGCCCCTCACTTAACCTATTTTTAATATTTTTCTGCATTATTATCAATAACATTTATTTCAATAAGAAATTTTCTTCATGATATTGTTAATCAACAGCAGTAAAAACAAAGAAATAAAAGCTCCTCAAAAAGAAACTAACCATTTTGAGATGATTTGATATCTTTGTAGTCAAGATTTAAGTTCAAGTGGACAAATCATCATCCCTAGTATCTAACAATTCTGTTTCTTTTGAAATAAAACCAGATAAATTAGATAAATTAGAATGGTCTTAGTTACTCTCAATAATATAGATAATCTTTTGTATACTTCATATAGAGTATAACATAAGTAGAGATAGCCACCCAAATCATTTGACTGCTACATTGTTAATATCCTATCAAGTCAACTATAAGGAATATACAGGTTTTTGCATATAACTTTTTATAATATACTTTTTCAGGTAGATTTATTCACAGAAAAACCAACCATAATGCAAACTCAACCATTTTTTTATGTCTAGAAGAAAAAAGAGCACTTGAACAAGAACTCTGTAACTTTAAGAGCAGATATGCAGAAAAGAATGGGAACACAGTAGAATCTGCAATTAGAGCAAGCTATAAATAGAACTTACAGTTTATGTAAAAGAATACCACAAAACCACAGGGGACATTGCATAGTAGGTGAGTAAACGTGAATGACCTTTACCAGTGCATCTAGGAAGGGGAAGAAATTGATACACATTTAGCAACTGTACTGAAATATTGCCTCCCAATGTCAGTCTGGTCAAAGCAGGGCTGGATTTCATTTTATTTTTCAGTTTTTCACCATCTAAACCTTAAGCATTTCTTGAGCCGTAAAAATTAAGTACTGGGTCATGTGACGTCTCTCACTGATGAATGAAGATTGTGTACATATAATATCATTACTTCTAGAAAATTTATGTATGTAGTTTACAAAATAACATATAAATGGATAATCAACCTAAAGGGCCAACCCCATAAAACATAAAACATTTGATTGTAGTTTGCATTTATTAAAATCATTTATTACAGCCCAGTTTTTCTCCATGGCCAGTCAGAGGAGCCTGCCCTGTTCTCTGGTAGGCAGGTGAATGTGATAAGCAGGGAGTTAGTGCCTTGGGCCATACCTTTCTGAGGCATTTTAATTATTTTCAATATGCAGTAAGGACACTGACACATGTTCAGAAAGTCATGCAAATATCCCTTTGCTGAAAATATGTCCAACACCCTGAGGCATAGGAGAGGGTGAAAATGAAATTTGGAAGAGTTAGGAGTTCATGCACCATAGCATGAAAGGAAAAGGATGCAGGGACCCAAGGCTTTTTAAGTGTAACTAGTCTGCCTGCTCCTTCTCCATATACCTACTGAAATCTCCTGCTTTTTATCCAGAAGTGTGTATGACTGAGATTCTGGTTTTGGAACAAGGTGAGGACAGGCAAGATGGTGGTCTTATTTAATTATTCAATAGAGCTGACATTACAAGACTTGATCACCTGGAAAGCAAAAAGATGCATCTGAAGGCAGGTCAGCTTTTTCTTTGTCTTTTCTCAGGATTAATCTAAAACAATTATGATCCACAACAGATACAGAAAGTTCTTTTCTAAGGCCAGTGGTAGAGAAAGCAACTTATTTGAGGGGCTTTGGTCATCGTGTTGGCTCCTGAATCCCTTCAGGGCATTTATATTGCTCAGAAAATGTCACAAGCTATGAAATTCAGCTCCAACATTCTCCCAAGTCATCCTAGCCTAGAAGCAGAAATTTCATGGTATTTTCCTGAGGTGATGCTAGAGATTCACAGCAATCTGGGAGAGCATGAAGGACAGGAATGTGGTGAGTATCCTCTGGAGGAAATCCCAGAGCCTGGTATCACTCTTCACAGAACTTTTTCCTAGAAGAGGAGACATGGGGTCCAAATGTGACTCAAAGGCAGTGATCCACATAGGGGCCACAGGGAGTGAAATGCCAGTCCTGGCTTTTTTCCCCTCAAAATCCGTCTGGTTATATTCTATATCCAGTTGAGGCATTCTGGGCTGCCCAGGGTTTTAGAGGCTAACCTTATGGCAGTTCTAGGGTGTGTCCAGTTAAGAAGTGTCCTTAGAAGACCGATTTGACCTTGCACCTAAGAGACATGAATATATATTTTCAAGATTGGTCCGATGTGGCTGTGCAGGGGATCCTTGATCAAAGCAACTTTATAGCTCCCCCAACGCCATCTCTGGATGTTAATGGGATATTGACGCAGTGTTAACTGGGCCTCTTTTGTTGCTCTCCCTTAGAATTACGCTTTTACCATCTTGAAGCCCAATGCACCTGTGTGTAGGTCTGGCATTTAGGGGTAAGCAATTGACACATCGACTTTATTATGGAGATTTCTATAACCAAATAAGTCCTTTAGCCCACTAGATTCCTTCACAAACTATCAATCCCCTATAATCAAAAATCAGAAAAGGATCTGTCTGTCTATCTATCTATCTATCCCTCTATCCATCTATCTACCATCTATCTATTGACCCTCTCTCACATCTCTCTGTCCCTTCCTCCCATATAACATAATGTCCTTTTAGGAACATCTGAAGCTAGCAATGTAATTTAAGTAGTTCTATAAACACAAATATCCCAGAAAATAATAGCAGAACTCCCTCCCTGTTTTTGTTTATATAAGTAAAAAAGAGTTTTAAATGAATTCTCAAGTATTTGTAATTTTAGATATCTAAGAGTAAGGGAAATTAAAAAAATTTTCTATTTTGGAAAATTATTGTCACCCAGTTTATAATTTCATTTAGTATAATATTTTCTAAACAGTGTCTACAATTGGGAAGACTGCATAATTTACTATGTCCTAAAATAGTTTTAGTTTTCTGAGATTATTTTCATGAGAATGCAGTTATAAAATCATGTGGTATAAAACAGAATCTCTTCATGCTAAAATTGTATTAATAATTAATTGGAGAAAAAGTATTTCACCATGACAAATGAGAGACTGTATGGAAGGAGTGATGCCATTTCATGGCAGAAATAATATAGTAACATGTCATTAAATACAAGACATCATATTAAATTTTATAGTTAATGTACAAGGATATCAAAATATATTAAAATTCAAATTGGTTATGTTTGCTAAAATTCTGGTACTGGAGATAATAATTAGAGTTTTTCCAATGTAATTATTAAAATGAGAAGAAACAAAGAAAATGTTTAGTGGGAACAGAAAAACAATTTTCTAGAGAAAAATCTGGTTACCAGTAAAGTAAAGCAATGTGAAATAAGAGAGAAATACGGCACATGCTTTTGGCTCACTGTGATGAGGATATGATCTTAATCAAAGTCAGGTCTACAGTCAACAAAGACACAGGTCTAATAGCAAAAAACTTCAGATGTTAACTTGTGTATGAGTAATTGCATTAAATTAAAACATGATGACTAAATTAACAGTAGTTATTAGCCTTCAGAACAGAGATGCCTATGAGAGTATACAATATCAATGAAGAGTTAGAAAGGATCCAATACCATGCATTTACCAATGTATTTTATATGATGATTTAATAAAGGTAGTTTTTAAGAACTATAACTTTTTAATTAAACATGCTTTTATAAATGAAATATTGAGTAGTTGCAAAACAACACTTACAAAATGCAATGTAAAATATAAAGATTAAAGAATAATGGTGTACTATACACCCATATACCCAGCATCCTGTTTAAGGCAAATAACACCACTGTTACCTATCTGTGGAAGATGCTTTGTTTTTTTCCTTATCCCATCCCTTTCCTTTCTTCCTTCCTCAGAATTAATCACTGTTCTGAACCTGTTTATCTTTATGTTTTTTCCATACATATTTGTATTCCTGAATGAAATTTTATTTTTAGTATTGATCACTTTATAAAACGGATGTTATCTGTCAATTTAGAAAGATAAATACAAAATAATTGTATTAGTTCATTCTCACACTGCTATAAAGAACTACGTGAGACTGGGTAGTTTATAAAGAAAAGAGATTTAATTGACTCACAATTCCACAGGGTGTACAGGAGGCATGGCTGAGGAGGCCTCAGGAAACTTACATTCATGGCGGAAAGACTAAGGGGAAGCAAGGCACAGTCTTCACATGGCAGCAGGAGAGAGAGAGAGAGAGAGAAGTGGGAAGTGCTAGACACTTTTAAACCATCAGATCTTGTGAGAACTCACTCACTATCATAAGAACAGCAAGGGGAAAATCCACCTCCATGATCCAGTCACCTCCCACCAGGTGTCTGCCTTAACACTGGGAATTACAATTCAACATGAGATTTGGGTGAGGACACAGAGCCAAGCCATATCAATAATAAAATTTACTTTTATCCACTTTAAAATAATAAAAATACATTTACAAAACTAAATTATGGTTTTGATAGGTTTCATATGTATTTATATCTTCTGAGATTTATTTACATTGTTGAAAATAGCTGGGATTTATTAATTTTCAGTGCAGTATAATGTTCAATTTGTTTCCACTTAAAGTTGATGGATATGTAGGTTACTTTCTATCACAGAATATATATAACATAATTTTATAATGTTACATTACTTTTTTGTTCATGTCTGCTGGTACACATATGTGCAACAGGAAGTGATATGTCATACATTTCCAACATTACTAGAGTATGCCAAATTTTTTGTGAAAGTATTTCTAAGAATTTACACAATGTGATGGAGATCAACTCTTCGTTTCTTCTTCTTCCTATGCACACAGGTAAACTACGTTTAGCAGCCTCCCTTTTGGTTAGAGGAGGCTGCACAGTTAGATGTCTTGCAATGGTATTTCAGCAGTGGAGATTGTGCCTCAGTCTGGCCTGTAAAATCCTTCCACATACAGTTCATTTCAACTCTTTCCCTCTTCTTGCTGGCTGACAGGAGACTACCTCAGGATGGTCTTAGAAGCCACATATTTTGTTTATTTATTTATTATTTGAGACAGGGTCTTTCTCTGTCATTCAAGCTGGAGTGCAGTGATACAATCGTAGCTCACTGTAACCACAAATGCCTGAGCTCAAGCCATCCTCCCACCTCAGCCTCCCGAGTAGCTGGAATTGCAGGCACACCTAGATTATTATTATTATTATTTTATGGAGATCAGGTCTCACTATGTTGCCCAGTGTGGCCTCGAACACCTGGCCTCAAAGCAGTCCTCTGGCTTCAGCATCCCACAGTGTGGAGATTATAGGTGTGAGCCACCTCACCGGGCAGAAGCCACATATTGGAGGTAACAGAGGTACATGATGAAAGGATATTGGGTCCCTGCTACTTGATAACTGGGATATCTTTTTTGGTTTACGTTAAAAACAAAATAAACATTTCTATATTAAATTACTTTTGAATTTGTTTGTTATGCAGTTAGCCTACTCTAATAGATATGTACCTCCTGGCAGGGGATAGTTTCTGCAACCCTTGAAACTGTCCAACTTCATGACTTACCAATGTGTTGAGTATGAAATATCATAATCCTAAGGCTAGAGTTTACATTTTTTTAATCACTAGTGAGGGCATCTTTTTATGTGCTAACTGGCCATTTGGATTTTTCTTTCTGGGAAGTGTTTAAGACTTTTGCCCACTTTTATATTGAGCTATTTGCCATTTTCTTATTGATTTGTGGACACTACGTATTCTAACAGAATACATTATCACTTTCGTGCTGTAAATATCTTCTCCCAATCTGCAACTTGTCCTTTTTCTCCCTTTATGGTGACTTCGATTTTTTTTTTTGAATCTCACTTTTAATGTAATGGTATTTATTCATTTTTTCCTTTATTGTTTGTACTTTTTGCCCTATTTAAGAATTAGTTTCCTACCTAAAAGTCATAAAGGTACTAACCCATATTGTGTCTTACAGTTTTATAATTTTGATAAGACAATTTAAGTCATTAGCCCAACTGGAACCATTGTTTACTTTTTAAATTTCCATATGGATACCCACCACATTCAGCTAATTTATTTTAATTTTTAGAGATGGAGGTCTCCCTATGTTGCTTAGGCTGGCTTTGAACTCCTGTTCTCAAGTATTCCTCCTATAACTGCTTCTCAAGAAGCTGAGATTATAGGCAAGAGCTGAGATAATAGGCAAGAGCCATTATGAAATACCCAGCCTGGTATTTTATAATGTCTTTCTGAAGGCTTTTCTATTTACCCAATCAAGATCTTACAAATATTTTGATAGGTTTCTTATGATATACTTTATAATTATTTTCCCCAATTTATTAAGATATACTTGACAAATAAAACTTATATATATTAATGGTGTACAATGTGATGTTGTGATATATGTATACGCTGTAAAATGATTAAATTAAGCTAATCAACATATCCATCACTTCACATACTTAACTTTTGGGGGATGGAGAACATTTAAAATCTTCTTCCTTAGCAGTTTTCAGGTATACAATGCATTATTATTAACTGTAGTCACCTTGCTGTACAACAGACCTCCAGAACTTATTCATCCTAACTGAAACTTTGCATCTTTTGACCAACATCTCCTCATTATAGCTTTTGATGCTATTGTAAATTATAGCCATTATGAAACTATATTTCTAACTATTTATTACTGCTGTATGGGAATGTGACTGGTTTTGCATATGTTTATAAGGAAAAAACCCTTAAGCCATCATCTTTCTAAGGAAATAATTTAGTTGTAAAATTTTTGTGTGTTTTTGATGTTTATGGTCATATCATTTTCAAATAAGAATGACTACGTTTTCATCCTTTCCAAATGTTATAAATTTCAGCTTTCTTGCTGTGCTATTCTGGCTAGGACATCTAGCTTAATGTTGAATGGAAATAATGAAGCTAGGCATATTGATTTTTCCCTGGAAACATTTTCAATGTTATAAAATTAAATATGTTTACTGTAAAGCTTTTTTGCTCTGTAGATATCAATTGTTAAGCTATGCTTGGTTTGCTAAAACTGAATGTTGACTTTTCATGTATTCCTTTTTGTGTCTGTCAAAAATCATCATTTGATTAGTCTCTTTTAATCTGTTAATGTAGTGAATTACATTATTTTCTAACCATGCATTCCTGAAAGCAACCTAATTTTGTCACCGTATTCTATCTTATTTATGCATTGCGAAATTTAATTTATTAATATAGAGTTTGGATTATTACATCTGTGTTAATTGAGGAGTTGGGTAGAAATTCCTTTTTTTCTGCACGCAGGAATAGTTTGTGTAAGACTGGAATTATTTGTTGTTTGAATATTTACTAGAATTCACTAGTATAACCAACTGGGCCTGGTGTGTTCTTTTCCGAAAGGAATTACGTAATAATTTAATTTATTTAATCATTAAATAATTGCTCAGGCTTTTTGTTGTTTCTTGAATCCATTTTGGAAAATTGTATAAATTTCAATTTCTTTTCAAATTTAATGGCACCGTTTCTATAATATTGCTATTTTTTGCAGCATGTGTGCTTAAACCACTTTTTCGTTGCTGACAGTATTTACTGTGCCTCCTTCATTTTCTCTAGTTCAGCCTTGCACTAGTTTGTGAATTTTATTATTCCTTTAAACAACAAACATTTGGCTTTATTGATCCTTCTTTTTCTTGTATGTTTATCTTCTATCTCATTAACTTCTGTTTTCTCCTTATTACTTATTTCCTTATCTTGCACTGGGTTTAGTCTAAATCTAATCTATATTTTCCCCATCTCTTGAATAACATGAGAATCTGAACACATCAGCTCAATCACCTCCAGCTGGCTGTGTGATATTTTTGTTCTGTATATTAGCTCTATTTTGCACCCCTCACCCAAAGACATTATTAAGTTTTTAAATATATATTTGCTTCTACATCTGTTGGCTGCCCAGAGCCTCCACCTCTGATCACTTTCTTTTGGCCAAAGTGTATCTTTAGAATGTCTTTTAGTGAATATCTGTTGGTCAAACACTTGTTTCATTTATTTTCTTTTGTATAAAAATGTTATGGGATCTTTGGGGGTGTCGCTTTTCTGGCCAGAAACCTCGGTGGCTGGTGGCACCTTTGCCTGAGTTTTGCCTGGGGCCACTGGGCTCATTAGGCCCACTTGGCCTAGCAGGCTGTGCTCAGCTTATGCTACCAGCCTGGATATCATGCCTCCAAGGGTGAGACAGGCATGGAGCAGCAAGGGGTATGTGAGCAAGCATGTGTTCCAGCCACTGCTGAGACAAGCCTGCTGCTGCTACAGGGTGGGCAGCACCAGGTGCCAGCATGGGCGCTGGCTCTCCCCAATGCTGTGGCTGAACCAGGCACACCACAAGCACCTTCCCCAGCTGGCACTGAGGAATGCAGTAGCACCTAGAAGCTTTGAGACTTCCCAAACCACAGGGCCCCAAAGAGGGAGTCACAGTCCTGGCTTGGGGAGCTCCCAGGTCTGGGGTCCCTGAAGGGCTACAGCTCTTCTCTCCTTTCCTTCACCCAAGATGTGGCCAGCAAGGAGCATGATTCAGCCCTTTTTGTGTTACAGCTCTTTTAGCCTTGCCATTTAGCAGGTGCTGAGCTCTTGTCCTACATCCAGGAAGAATGAGGTATGCATACAAGCAGAGGATGAGCAAGATGAAGAGGAGCTTTAGTGAGTGATAGAACAACTCATGGGAGACCCACAGTGGGCCCCTCCTTTCCATACCCAAGGTGTCCTGATAAGTGCTCAGCTCCTTGCAGAAAGGAGACCCTGGAGTGGGAAGCTCCTCTACAGGCAGGTCATCCCACTGAGCATTCAGCTTTCAGCAGAGAAGAGGCCCTAGAATGGGTAGCTGCTCTCTGCAGGCAGGTCATCCGGTCATCTCTGCAGCTCTTGGCAGAGAGGAGGCCCTGGAGTGGGTGACTGCTCTTTGCTGGCAGGTCGTCTGGTTGTCTCCCTGTTGTCTTTTGTCCTCTCTTCAAGTCTGGCTGAGTCTGGGGTTTTTATGGGCCTCAGAGGGGAGGAAGTACGTGCTGATTGCCCATGGGTGGCCATGGGTGGGCCCGGGGAAAAGCACCACAAGTTCTTCCTCCAGATGGTGGGATTGGAGGCCAAGCCCCCAGGTTTCAGGCCCTTTCCGTCTTGAAGGTGGGTCTTCACGAGGGACCCATTCCATTCTGTCTGGTAGCATGTCTGCCTACTGCTGCTGTTCATGGCGCCCAGGCTGTTCATGCCAAGGGCCACCTGCAGACCAGTGCTGGGCTGTCCTCAGCACCCACTTGGCCTAAGTCTGGTGGGGCTAAGACAGCAGGGGACTGGCATGTTGGCACTGCCCCAAGTGTGTGCACACCTGGCCTGACTGCGACAGCACCTGGGCTCAGCCCTGACTTTGTTCTGAGATTGGAGCCTTCAGTGGGAGCAGGCACTTCTGAGCCTGCGGGGGTAGGAGGGGGACTTCCAAGGCCCCCAAAAGCACAGAGGTGCCCGGGGCTGGAGCTGTAGCAGGCTCCAGCCATACTCACAGAGCTCCTACCCTGCCATCTCAGAAGGAGTGGGGCTCCTGCTTGTCCTCACAGAGCATGCAGTCCTGGCTGCACACCCTTGCAATAATAGTCCAGAACAAAAAGTGAAATAGTCTTTGAAGATAAAGATAGTGTCTCTTTCTAGAGCAAAAGGAAACATTCTTACTGCCAATTATGAAATAAAAGATTCAGGTTCTCTAAACTCAGGGTTCTTCTCCTATAAAGCAAACCACTGTGCGTGCAGGTGCTCTCTGACCCACTGTATACTGTCTTGTGGGAATTGGTGCACAGAGACCCAGTGCAAAAATGATGAGCTCTAGTTACTCTTATTTCTATGAATTATAAACTATTTTCCAACTCTGACTCAGGATATTGTACCAATATCCAAGAAATTGCTAGTTGGCAAGCAGGGTAAAATTTCATATATTTCACAGTTCTTAGTACATAAGTCCTGAATAAATGGACCAAATATATAAACCAACCATTTATATTCCCTATTCATGAGTTATGAGAGTACACTAAATTGTAAAATAATTAACATGATATAAGTAAAAAAGCAAATGCCCAGATGAAATCATAACTATTGAGTAGTTTATTGTGAGGGAGTTGTTAAATAATTTTTATGTATTTTTAAATGCAAGGCAGTAATGTATATATTTATTTTATTTTTTATTTTTACCATATATTTCTTAAGTGTAAGGTGCATCTTATGGATTATCTTATAACCCGGATCTCAAATATGATTCTGGTGATTTACAAAAGCAGGTCCAGGAAGCCTGCATCCCACTTCTACTTTTCAGTGCCACACCTGAGGTCTCACTCTGGCCCCAAGGTTTCTCAGGTGCCACTGCCTGGATTGTCTGAAAGAACCCAGTGCACAGATATCTCAGAAGTGGAAAGAAGATAACCTCCTTTGGGCCAAGCTAAACACTGTGGGCACTGGAAATCAATGTCTAAAACCTTCTCCCTTTCATTCCTTAGGTGTTTGTTTATTATATAACAAAACTGTTGCCTGCAGAAGAGGTCTATTTAATGATACTCCTTGTAATATACATGAACTTTTCCAAATTACCTTTAACATACATTAACTTTTTACTCTTCTGTTATTCAGCTCTGTTTTCCAGAAACATGTTATCACATAAGGTATCTTATAAACTCTTCTGACGGGTTCTGCTTAGTGGGGGTTAGACACACAGGAAAAGATCAGTATATTCACATTCACATATTCTTCAGATGCCTATGTTACAATATCCATTATGAGTAACACATAAATGAATGGCAAGTTTTAATGCAAAAGGGTAAATGTGCAACATAGGTGTCTGTAAGACCTAATATAATGATATTCAGCAGTTGAATATTATGACAGAAAAAACAGTTTTGTAGAGAGAAAGTAATGCTCTATCTCAAGGAATTTTAACTTCCTGGAATTTCAGAATAAAGGTGGGGTGAAGATAAAAGAAGAAATGGGAATGATGTTATTGTGAGTGGAAACTACACATTTCCATTTCTTTTTAAAGAAAACGGTTTTGTTCCTAATTTTTGGTTCCCATAAAGTTTACAAATACACTTTTACTCTGATAATACAGCTTTTCAACGAGGAAAACAGTGATCTAACACCCATAAATACAGGTGGGGAGACAATTAACATCCACTAATGTTTGTCTACATAAACCATTCTTTTAATGTCTTTTTTTTTAAAAAAAAAAACAGTTGCAAAGAGACTACATAATATATGTGGGCAAAAAGGCAATTAAATGAATCTCTTGAAACACTAAGTGTATAATAAGTAGGATTTTATAAACATTCACATGATTCACATCAAAATGATGACATCCTAAAATGTATTCCTTTTAAAGGATAGATTAGTCAATAAAATATTACATATCTTTTAATACTCTGGTACAATACTTTATATACTGAAGGAAAATTAATTGTAGGTCTAGTCATCAGCTTAATAAGGGATCCTTCCCTATAATCTTTTGTTAATAAAAGAATTACAGTTGGGTCATAAGTAAACAGGCAAATAATTAATTACATGATTTGAGGTTTAGGATCAAAACTGGTCAAAATTAGTTTGATATACATCAAAGTTATACGACACAGTAAAACCAACTTTAATATTTTTGCCTTGTATGAACTGCCCATATGTGAAAAAGGAACACACTTTTCAGTGATGAAAGATACAATAAACTATATTTTGGAACTTACTTGTCAAGAGGAAGAAGGAAAAAGGATTTCAACAAAATTAAGGGCTAATACAGACCCTAACAAAGGCATCCTGAATCAGGGAGGCCGTGTGCTTGCTATGTGTAAAACTTGATTCCCCCAACAACATACAGAAGACAAAAACTGCACTGGATTTGTAGTTATATCTGCAGTTTAGGTTTCCATTATGGATACTAATCTACAACAAAATACTTTACAATTGCATATCTTTCCACATCCCCCTGAACTAAAAATAACTCAAGATGTTATTAGTTCTTAAAATCTCCAGTAAAATAACCCCTAAAAAATAATCCTGACCAATTTCTTGGCTGTTTCCCCAGAGCAACTGGGCTTTATAAAGAATGCACAGACCCTAAGAAAGTCCTACCCCACATTTCCATTTTAATTGAAGAAATGCATAATGCAGCCTACAAAATCATCAGTATATTGAACCTTATGAAAAAATGTATAAGTTCGTGTTAAAGTTTAATGTAGAAAAGGACAGTAGCATTCTACATGGGCCAAGCATAAGAGTAATAGTAATAGAAATGTGAGTTATCCAGACATCAAGTCAAAGATTCATTAACTTAAAACAGAGAATAACATAAATTAATTTTACCATCCTTGATGATAATTTACAAAAAGTAGTGGGATTAAGGGGAAGAGCTTTCATTTGCAATAGATTTTGCCAGATAAGGAAATGTGTAAAGTTAGAAATTTGACGGTAAAATGCAAAAGTATCATCTTAAGTTTATTGATACCTGAGTAAAAAAAAAAAATGAGGAATAAGTATATTCTTGGTTGTTTTGAAGCAATTTAGAGAAAACATAAATATAATTTTATGGTCTACTTTTTTTTTTTTTTTTTGAGATGGAGTTTTGCTCTTGTTGCCCAGGCTGGAGGGCAATGGTACAATCTCGGCTCACTGCAACCTCTGCCTCCCAGGTTCAAGCGATTCTCCTGCCTCAGCCTCCAAAGTAGCTGGGATTACAGGCATGTGCCACCATGCCTGGCTAATTTTTTTGTATTTAGTAGACAGCCTGACCATGTTGGTCAGGCTGGTCTCGAACTCCTGACCTCAGATGATCCACCTGCCTTGGCCCCCATTGTGCTGGGATCACAGGCATGAGCCACCACACCCGGCCTATGGTCTAAAATTCTTAACAGGAAGATCTTTAAGAGAGATGTGGCTCTCCAAAACAAAACTCAATCAATAAACTTGAGTCTTATCTATTAAAGAACATGTGCAAAATGTGAAAAAATGGACTTTTCATCAAGGATGTTTACAAAAGTGTTTTCCAAAACTGTATGAGTAAGAATGTCTCTTACTGGCTGGAGCTTTCTTTCTTTTAAAATGATCCAAAAGAGCTCATTTTAATTTGTTAAAAGCGAGAAGGTTAAGAAAGGTATAGGTCCTTTTTTCTTAGATGCTAAGATAACAGACCTACTTAATTCATATTTTGTTGGCATATTTTATCCAAGAAAATTATCTTTGCCTTGAAAAGGTAAAAACAAAAGTACCCATAAGGTCATAAAAACTCAAGATAGGTTTTAACAAGTGTTTGTTGTTCAAAATACCACACTGAGAGTTAAAGACGATGAAACAAAGTTTAAACCGAACAGAATCTTGGCCTATTGGCATAAATTGGGACCACCTCAGGAAGACCAGGGTGTATGTTTCCTCTACAAAAGGCATTTAGTGCTCTAAATGAGTCTCCTAAAAATCAACCCCTGACCACACCAAGTAATCACAGAAGACATCTTTTAACCAAGTAAGGCTTGTTGTAACATGACATTCGAAAAGAAAGATAAATCAAGGCAATAACAAACAAACAAACAAAAAACTTATTTATCTTATTATTTAAAAGAAATGAGGCAGGGCTCAGTGAAACATGCCTGTACTCCCAGCACTTTGGGAGGCTGAGGAGGATTGATCATCTGACGTCAGGAGTCATTTCTACCAAAAATACGAAGTATTAGCCGGGCGTTGCAGCAGGCACCTGTAATCCCAGCTACTTGGGAGGCTGAGGCAGGAGAATTGCTTGAATCCAGGAGGTGGAGGTTGCAGTGAGCTGAGATAGCGCCATTGCACTCCATTCTGGGCAACAAGAGCAAAACTCCATCTCAAATAAACAAATAAATAAATAAGAAATGAAATTGGTTGCAGCAATTCCCATCAAGAAGTAGAGTTCATTTCCCCACTTCCTGAATCTGAGCTGTTCTTGTGACTTGATTTGACCAACAGAACGCAGCATAAATGACACTGTAATTTCTGAGCCTAGGCCTCAAGAGACCTTGCAACTTCCACTCTTGCCTGCTTGGAACCTAGCCATCATGCAAAGGGCCAAGCCAGCCTGCAGGAGAGGCCATTGAAACCTAGCTGTAGCTCCAGCCCAATGCTAGACATGTGAGTGAGGCTATTCATGTCCAACCACCCCTAGCTGACCTGCCAACTTACCACAAACATATGAGTGAGCCTAGCCAATACCACATGGAATAGAGGCACGTTGTGCCAGATGAGCCCTGCCCAAATACCTAATCCAGTTAAATTATAAGCAAATAAATAGTTTTAAATCACAAAAATAGATCGATGATAGATAGATAGATAGATAGATAGATAGATAGATAGATAGAGTCACCTGGCCTGTTGCAATGTATTTTCAGTGTTCTAAAGCAACATGGGGAACAGGAGATAAGTCAGAAACCTGGCTGTTGACAATTTCGAAATTATTAATACAAAAGAAGAATATATGATCTTATTCATCAGTAGACACAGAATGGCAGTATTTCAGAATGAGAGTTATTAAAAGAAGTATCTTCGTCACTTAGACATCATCACTAGAAGGTCGCATGTTTTCACTAATAACAAGTAAATTCATATTTATATTCACGACTATGTGAGGTATTTTCCACAGTCTCTTCTTGTGTTCATGTGATAAGAGGCAACAATTTAGTATAACAGATTTCCAACTTATTAATGAAGATAGTGGATAGCATTAGTTCTTTCAACAAATATATACTGGGGATATACTCAGTGTCATTCTGATAAATGCCAATGTCAACATGGAAAAGAATTCTCTAGGGATATAAATCATAGTACATAACATTCTATTTTACTCCCGTTCTTTTAACAGTTTTACTTCTTCATTTGCCCAAATAATAATGGACCCAAAACAACTGAAATAATCCTTTACTACAGACCAGGGGTAGCGAGACTAATGTTTATGTTCATTATTATCAAACATTTATAGATATAACGCTCTACCATTAGAGTAGTCTAAAGACACACTTGTCTCATTAGGTAGTGACTTACCCAGTGCTGGAGGTAGTGAACCATGGTTTAAACAATCATGTTATAGGGATTTACGGGCAGGCTATACAGAATTAGTTGAATTTTGAATTCAGTGACTGTATCCTTTTCAGCAGCAGAACTACTTGTTTAAAGGATAATTTTGTGTACTAGCACCTTAATAAATAAACACATAAAAGAGAATGGACTGAGAATGATGGAGCTCACCCATCCTCACCCTTCATTGACTACTCCATCTGAAGGTCTCTAGAGTAAGTGTCTTCTACAGTCCTTTCAGATTTTTCTGTTCTTAATTACGTGCATCTATTACAAAGGGAGAATTTCAATGACAGAGCTAAAACAAACTGCAAGGAAAGTCATATGAAGTTAGAATTAACCAAAAAAAAAAAACCTTGAAATGAGTTAATTCAAAGTGTTTAAAATAGCCTGTGGTGGATATTGATGTTATACAGTGCAAATAAGCAATAATTAAAAACATTTGCAATTCTTTTTAAAAAATTAAGAACAGATATTTATATCACAGTTCCAGAGACTGTGAAGTGCAAGACCAAGGCGCCAGTGAGGACTGCACTTGGCTTCCAAGATGGTGCCTTGAATACTACAACCTCCGAAGGAGATGAATGCTGTTTCCCCACGTGGCAGAAAGTGGAAGGGCAGGAAAAAAATGGACTCCTTTTGTTAAACCTTTTTAGGGCACCGAATCCCATTCATGAGGGGAGGAGTCCTCACGACCTAATTACTTCTTAAAAATCTCAGCTCTTAATACTATCACATTGGCAACATCTGAATTTCAGAGGAGCAAATTCAAATAATAGTGGCTGAACTCAGATTGTCTGTACAAGAGCAGTGGTGTTTTACTCTTTCCAGTCCTCCAATACAGCACATTTCACCACTGTGTAATTAATATACTTTTTAATTAACGAACCCTCTAGTGAAGATTTAGATAACAATATTTAAAGTATTTGCAATGGTCACTTCTGGAGGGTGGGTTTATGATTGGGTGCTTTAAATGTTATCTAGCTGTCCCTGGAGTATAGATTTAATTTAATGTAATTTAATTTTTTTTTTACCTTTAAGTTCAGGGGTACATGTGCAGGTTTGTTACATATGTAAACTTGTGTCATGGGCATTTACTGTACAGATTATTTCATCACCCAAGTATTAAGCTTAGTACCCATTAGTTATTTTTTCTGATCCTCTCCTTCCTCCACCCTCTGATAGGCCCCAGTATCTGTTGTTCTGCTGTATGTGTCTATCTGTTTTCATTTAGCCCCCACTAATAAGTAAGAAGATATGATATTTGGTTCTCTGTTCCTTTGTTAGTTTGCTAAGGATAATGGCCTTGAGCTCTCTCCATGTCCCTGCAAAGGACATGAGCTCATTATTTTTTATGGCTGCATAGTATTCCATGGTGTATATGTACCACATTTTCTTTATCTAGTCTATCTTTGATGGGCATTGAGGTTGATTTCATGTCTTTGCTATTGTGAATAGTGCTGCAATGAACATATGCATGCTTCTGTCTTTATGATAGAACAATTTATATTCCTTTGGATATATACCCAGTAATGCGATTGCTGGGTCGAATGGTAGCTCTGTTTTTGGGTCTTTAAGGCATCACTTCACTCTTTTCTACAATGGTTGAACTAATTTATACTCCCAGCAACAGTGTATAGGCATTCCTTTTTCTCTGCAACCTCATCAGCACCTGTTATTTTTTGACTTTTTAATGATAGCCATTCTGACCAATGTGAGATGGTATCTCATTGTGGTTTTGATTTGCATTTCTCTAACGGTCAGTGATGTTGAAGTTTTTCTCATATGCTTCTTCGCTGCATGTAAAACATTTGCAGTTCTATTTTTGTGTCTTGGCTGATGACAACCTCAAGGCTAATTTTTTAAAAATCATAGTTTACTTTTTTGAAATGAGAAAAACAGAACATGCCAACCATAAAAAAATACAAAAGTTATACAAATTAGACTATAATTGTTAAAAGTTATAATTAAAAGTTATATATATTAAAAGTTATAATTAAAAGTTATATATATAATTAAAAGTTATATAATTAAAAGTTATAATTGCTAAAAGTTATACAAATTAGACAATTACCCATTATTCCACCAAGAGATTACAATTTCCCTTCCTGAAAAAAACTTGTCATTCAGTTGTGAGGAGTTCAGTTGACTGACAGCCTCCAGCTGCAGCACTGTAATGATCTGTGACAATGTTTGAGCAAAAGTCCTCTTTTTCCTGGACTATTCCAAAGCCATGAAATGAGCATGACAGGACATCTAGGTCCTGGCTGTTTTGGCCATCGGAGGACTCCTCCAAGGAGCAATATTTGGGTTGGCAAGGACTTGTCAGATCTACATAGTAGTTTGAGACTTTCTTTGTCAAATTCTTCCTTCTCCTCCCCTTATTTTCACAGGTATCAGATATCAGATCTGCACTATGAGCTAAGCCTTTCTCTGCTCAAACTTGCTACCTCTTATTTAATTTCCATAGGTGTTACACCTACAACATTTCTCCATCAACCTTACATAAACCTCTTGCACACCAACTCTCTCTTAGCTTCAGCTTTCTAGAAGACTTTAGCTGATGCACAATTATTACATTTTTATGCTATATTCCTTTATTATTTTACATGCATATTTTATACACTTGAAATTATATACATGTAAGTTTGTATCCTGTCTTTCAATGTCTAGGTTATTGCAAAAACTTGGTAGTTTTTTTTAAATTTTATTTTACTTTAGATTCAGGGTGTACATGTACAGATTTGTTACATGGATATATTGTATAATGGTGGGGTTTGGGCTTCCAGTGACCATCATCCAAACAGTGACCATTGTAACCAATAGGTAATTTTTCAACACTCACTTTCCTTCCAACCTCCCCACTTTGGGAGCTCCCAGTGTTTGTTGTTTTCATTTTGATGTCCATGTGTACTCACTGTTTAGCTTCCACTTATAAGTGAGAACATATAGTATTTGATTTCTGTTTCTGAGTTATTTCACTTATGATAATGGCCTCCAGCTGCATTCAAGTTGCTGCAAAAGACGTGATTTTGTTCTTTTTTTTATAGCTGTGTAGTATTCTGTGATGTATATATACCACATTTTTTAATCCAAGCAACCACTGATGAACACTTAGGTTGATTCCATGACTTTGCTATTGAATAGTGCTGCAATAAACATACAAGTGCTGGTATCTTTTTGATAAAATAATTTATTTTCCCTTGGATTGATACCCAGTAGTGGGATTGTTGGGTCACATGGTAGTTATATTATTAGATCTTTGGGAAATCTCCATACTTTTTTCCATGGAGGTTGTACTAATGTACATTCTCACCAACAGTGTTATAAGCATACCCTTTTCTCCACATTCATGCCAACCGCTGTTGCTTTTGACTTTTTAATAATAGCCATTCTGACTGGTGAAAGATGATATCTTATTGTGGTTTAATTTGTATTTATCTGATGTTTAAAAAAAGGTTGAGCATTTTCTCATATGTTTGTTGGCCACTTGCATGTCTTCTTTTGAGAAGTGTCTAGTCATGACTTTTGCCCACTTTTTAGTGGGTTTTGTTTTCTTCTTGTGGAGTTGTTTGAGTTCTTTTTATTAGGTTGGTGTAAAGGTAATTGTGGTTTTTGCCACTACTTTTGCACAAACCTAATAGAATCTTGATATGAATTCTCTGGCAGAAGCATAATTTGCAAATGTTTTCTCCCATTCTGTAGGTTGCCTGTTTACTCTACTGATTATTTCTTTCGCTGTGCAGAAGCTTTTTAGTTTAATTAAGTTACATTTGTCTATTTTTGTTTTTGTTGCATTTGCTTTTGGGGTGTTAGTCATAAATTCTTTGCCTAGGCCAAGGTCCAGAAGAGTTTTACCTAGGTTTTCTTCTTGGACTTACATCTTTTCAGGTTTTATATTTAAGTCTTTAATTCACCTTGAGTTATTTTTGTTTATGGTGAGAGAGAGGTGTCCAGTTTCATTTTTCTGCATAGGGCTGCCCTATTTTTCCGGCACCATTTATTGAATAGGAAGTCCTTTCCCCCCGCCCCCTTTTTTTTGGTCAACTTTATTGAAGTTCAGTTGGTTGTAAGTATGTGGCTTTATTTATGGGTTCTCTGTTCCATTTCATTGATCTATGTGTCTATTTTAAACAACAGTGCCAGGTTGTTTTAGTTACTATAGCTTTATAGTATAATTTAAAGTCAGGTAATGTGATGCCTCCAGCTTTGTTCTTTTCACTTAGGATTGCTTTAGCTATTCAGGTTCTTTTTTAGTTACATATACATTTTAGGATTTTTTTTCTAATTCTGGGAAGAATGATATTGGTAGTTTTGATGAGAATTGAATTGAATCTGTAGATTGCTTTGGGAAGCATAGTCATTTTAACTACATTGATTCTTTCAACCGATAGGCATGGGATGTTTTTCCACTTGTTGGTGTCATCTGTAAGTTCTTTCATTAGTGTTTTGTAGTTCTTCTTGTAGAGATATTTCACCTCCTTAGTTAAATATATTCCTAGGTATTTGTGTGTGTAGCTATTGTAAATGGGATTGTTATTGATTTTGTTCTCATCTTAAATGTTATTGATATATAGAAATCCTACTGATTTTTATACACTGATTTTGTATTCTGAAACTATACTGAAGTTGTTTATCAAGTCTAGGAGTATTTTGGTGGAGTCTTTCAGGTTTTCTATGTGTAAGATCATGTCATCAGTGAATAGAGATAATTTGACTTCAATGTTTCCAATTTGGATGCCTTTTATTTCTTTCTCTTGCCTGATTGCTCTTGCTAGGGCTTCTAGCATTATATTTAATAGGAGTGGTGAGAGTGGACATTCTTGTCTTGTTCCAGTTCTCGGGAGGAATGCTCCCAGCTTTTGCCAGTTCAGTGTGATGTTGGCTGTGGGTTTGTCATAGATGGCTCTTATCATTTTGAAGTATGTTCCTTCAATACTTAGTTTATTGAGGGTTTGTATTATGAAGGGATGTTAAAACATACTAAAACTAATATTTCTTTAGTGCACTGTAATTTAAAACATTAGAAACAGTAAGATGACTATTGTAGTTCTTTGTAAAAATTTATCAAGTATAGTTTGAATAGTGCTTGCCTTCTCCTCATATAAATAATGATGTGAAGCAAATATCTTATTAATGCCTTGGTGAATTGTCATGCTCCTTTCTAAATCTGGACGAGCTTCCAACACTTTATCCCTTGTACTTTAAATGTTGTGAAATACCTCTGAGAGTTCTTTAATTTTGCTGGGACATCGCTTATTCTTTTCATCACAACTACTTTCCTTATTTACATTAATAAATTCATCCTAGGTAAATTCTTCTGGCAGCATATCTAGAGTTTCTCCAATTGCAGCAGTATCAATGTTCTGATAGTCATCTATTTTTTTCTAAAACTCCATTAGTGTACAATCCAAATTTCACTTCTAACGTTATTACTTTTTGCTTCTTTGCTGCACTTTCATTTTTCTTGGCCGATTTCCTCTTTCCATTTTCCATTTTTGTAAAATATCATGTGGATTAATTATAGGGAGACAACAAGGCAACACAACCAAATGCTTTCTTATCTAAGTAAACAAAATAACAGATGCGTAGTGACCAAACACTGACAGACTTTGAAAGAAGTTCTGTTATTGGTAACTGATCATGATGCATATTTGCTATTTATGAAGTGATTTGTAGGCTAAAGAGATAGCGGAAAAGTTTATAACTTATGCAATTACTCACAGGTAATATACCCTGCCAACTTAATGTGAACTCTGTTATTGGGTGATTTGTGTGATTTAACTAAATCAAGATAATTAAACTCTGTGCATATTGGAACCATGCAAAGAGGGGACTGTTTGTATATAATTAAAACAAGGTATGATAACCACATGCTATGAAGAATTGTACACTATTTAGTCATAAGAGAAAATATGCAATGTGAATCAGTTCTAGAGATCTGCTGTACAACATAATGTCTATGTTTAAAATTCAGTATTGTACACTTAAAAATTTGTTAAGAAGGAAGATCTTATATTGAGTATTTTGACCCCCAACACACACACACACACACACACACACACACACACACACGAACACAAAAAATCTTTTGGAGGGATGGATATGTTCATAATCTTAATTGTGTGGATGGTATCATACATAGGTATATGCATGTGCTGAAACGCATCAGATTGTGTACCTTAAACATGTGGCAGTTTTTTGTTATAGCAATTATACCTCAATAAAATTGTTTGAGAGAGAAAGAGAGAGAATACCAATCTTAAATTTATAAAGGGTTTAAAAATGGCCTCCCACAATAATTAATATTAACATTGGGATCCATAAGTAACCAAATGAAGAAATAATGTTCCTAACTGAAGAATATTCTTATTGCAGATCACACAATTGAGAAGGAGCATAGCATATATAAGGATTTAAGTTTGATGTGCCTGGAATGCAAAGTGGAGAAGGTCAGAAGTCATGAAGGAGATGTATGATGTGTTTTGGATTTTGGATTTTATTCTTCTTGGGAAGTCACTGAAGAATTTTGATGGAAACATAGTTAACATGGCCCAGTTTTCATTTTAGGGGTATCAATGTGAAGAATAGATTAGAATTGGCAAGGCCAGGCTGTTAAGGAGAAAACTTAGGAAGTGATTACTGTAATTTAACAGAGAAGAGTCCTGGCCTGAGTGTGTATGCTAATATTAAAAAATGAAAGTAAAAAAATTAATGGTTTCTTTAGAAGATAGAACTGTTAGACTGGGCGATGATTAGATATGTGTTAGGGTAGGGAGGCAAGTATGAAGATGGAGAAGCTGTCTAGAATGATATCAAGAGTAAGTTAGTGTCTGTTGGTGTGGGTCATTGAAATGCCACTGAAAGATCTCAATTTTTAATCCAAGGCAGGGAAGTTGGGGGTGAAGGATGATGAAGTTAACTTTGAAACAATTGAGTTTGAGTCACTTGTGGCCAATGAAATGGAGACATCCTGAATGGATGTGGCTATTTAGGCTTAAAACTCAGAATCAAGAGCTGTAGGGTTTGAAAGTCCTTGCACATAGATGATAATTAAAAGCATATAAGTGGATTCAATCTCCCTAGGATTGTGAGAAGAATAATTGTAGTATAGGATTAAGACAGAATGGAACTTAGTGACACCATAATCTAAGTTGTTGGGGCAATTAGAAGAAGAATCTCTCTGAAGGATGTATTATGTCTTTCCAAATTATAATGGCTAAATACTAATTTTTCTTAACAAACAATAATGTCAACAGTTATACCTTAGGAATGATATTTTCATTTATATTGTTCCAAATTTTTTAAGTGGATAACTTCAAATTTCAAATTTTTAATTTTTACTTCAGTGCTTCCATCACTTTAAATTCCTCATCATGAAGATGATGTGCTAGAAATAGCAAGAATGTATCTATTTTGCTGTTACACTTATGGCTTTGCTTTATTAATAAAGCATATGGAAGCTGATTTTAGTTATTAGTAAAATATATGATAAATAAATTGCATGTTTTTCAAGGAACAACACTGTTAGGACCTTGAAAACGTAATTTTCAAGAAAATCTTATAAAATGAGAATATTCTGAGTCACTAACTCGGATTGTTAGAATCTGAGTTAGTGACTCAGAATGTTCTCATTTTTTAATATTTTCTTCTCTATAAATTTTTAACCATCTTTTATGTTGGGGAGACAGAAAATGATTATAGTTCAGATGTCAAGAGGTTTGAAAAGGAAATTACTCACTTCAATGACTAAAATCAGCTTTTGGCCCTTTGTCTAAAATATTCCTTTTCAGAAAATTTGCTTTTGGCAATCATTCATCAATTTTAAAAAATATGTTCAAATGACTGTATTAAAATGTCACCATTTACATATATTTGTCCATAATAATGAGTTAGGATGAATTCTCAAATTTAATTTTAAAGTGGACTTAATGAAGTTTCTTTTTTTAGAGAGTGATTATAATAGCAGGTTTACGTAAGTGTTTATTAAATTTTCTGTGATGTAGATGACAAGCAATATGTTAAATACAATTTAATCATATACATCATATAGTACAAATACAAATACATCATATAGTAGAAGGAGGACCAACCATCCATTATAAGGAAAATAAGTTAATAGCGGGTGGCAAGGTAAACATGTGTTTTAAAGTTTTGGATTATATTACAGTATCTAACTTTATAGTCAGTGAGGTGATATCTACCATTAGAGTCTGGTTTTCCTGGGAAATCTGCTCTTGGCTTTTGCTGTTTACAGACAGAATTCACTGGGTAAATCTTGGTCATGCACATTGAATGCATAACAGGGTATAGAGTGAAGTGCCTGAAGATACCTGTTTGAAAAAGGAAAATATGGCATTTGTTAAAGTTAATTCAAAGACATATGTGAACTCTCTTGTCATGCTTTTGTAACTGTGGTATTTTTAGAGAAAAAAGAATTTCAAGAAGCTCTCAATACTTCAAGTAAAAACAAAACTAATATCTTATTCAGAATTCAGGTCTGTAGCTAACTGCCTGACTTCAAGCTAAATCCTAAAACGTGATATGCCAAATTATCGTACATAATGTACTGGAGGTTTGCCATAAACATGAGGACTCAGCAGCAGCCACAGTTGCTTAATGTCAGTCTGAGCAATCAGATCATATTCAGTGCTTTTCTTCTCCACTGTACTATTTTGAAATGTCATATTATGCTGCATCACTTTGATAGCAGCCTTGTCTGCTTCCTTTATCTTTATTAGCTGCCTTTTGTCCTTTCTTTGCAATTCCTACACATTGTTTTTATAACCTAATTCCATACCTTATTTGTTACTGTAAATAGCATCCAATTCTTCTTGAGCTGCCACCATGAAATCTTCCATTTCCTTACCTTTCAGCCACCTTAGCAGGTATCTAAATTCCCTTTATAGCATTTTTTATTGAATAAATTAATTTTTGTAGCCTCCTTTACCATACCACCATCTATGAGTTAGACTTACAGTTTAATAAAACAAAACACAATCACAACCCTAAATCCTCAAAATGTACTTTGGTAGAGAACAAAAGGGATCAGCCAATTCTAGTTATACCTCCTCTGAGCATCTGGGAAGTTCTCTTTCACAGCCCCTCAGTCAGGTACAAATTAACTAGTCCTACTCAATAAGTTGTGAACAAACAGGTCAAAGAATTTAATTACCAATGAGGAAACGTCCAAAACCCTTATCCCCTGCCAAAAGAAGACTGTCTGTTCGTGGCACCTTCCCATGAAGTGGTTGGGTGTTCCATGACATGAAGAGGCTGTGTGTTCAATGAACATGGTGGAACTTGCAAAAACCGAGTTCCTGAGTGACTACTTGAAGCAGACCCTTGATTAACATGCAGTAGGATTAAGAAATAAACTTTACTTTTAATGAGCTATTGAGATTGCTGGGTTATTTTGTTACTGCAGCATTACCTTGTTTATTCTGACTAATACTCAAACAAAACCAAATTTAAAAATAAGCACATGTCATTTTACAGATACAATACGTCTATAATGCTGCCACAGGTAGAGACAATGCTCACAAGACTACTATCTAAGGTGCTGTAAAGTTAGGAGGCTTTAACCATGCCATGAACTCTTGGAGCACAACTTTTAATGTTACCTATTCATATAATTGAGGAAGCTATAACAAGGACAATGTGATATCCCATGTATTTTTAATGAGAGAACATGAGTAACCCAGAAAGATTGTATTCAAAAGTTCAGACTTTTCTAAATGTCGCCTATAGTTATTTATTTCTATTTAATTCTTTTGTTTGTAAAATAGAGTCTAAAACAGACAGAATGGGAACTTGCATTTGATTCTTTATGAGTCAACTGAATTCTATTTAGTTGAATTCAATTCAATCCAGACACTTTCAATAAAGTATAACACTTGAAATTTCAAACACCAGTGTATAAACCCAAACCTTTTCCTCCATGCCTTCCAATAATAGATGTAATCAGTCTTTTTAAATTTCTATAGCATGAAGGTATAAACTCATTTCTTATTTTCTTGTTTTTACTCCACAACCAGTGAAAGTCCCTTTGAGTCAATTAGCATGACCCTAACTTATGTTTAATGACTTTATAATCTTGCAATATGAGCCATAAATTTTCATGTAATTCCCCTATTGATGGACATTCACTTTATTTCCAGTTAGTTTTATTATGAATACTAATGATATAATCTGTGATCTGAATTGCAAGTATTTTGTTCATAATTTTAAAAATAGTGCTTTTATTCACCTGGAATTTAGTTTTGAATAGAGCATAGGATAATGGAACAATTTTATGTTATTTTAGCATACAATTTTATATTCTTTTTAAACCAGGAGCCAGTTGCATCATCATAATATTCTCAGCAGACTAAACTTCTACCTTTGTCAGATATTAAAATGTCCTATGAATGTAGGTTTATTTTTAAAATTGCTAGGCTCTTCTACAAACATTTGTCTATTTTTTGCCAATATCATAATTATTTAAAGTGAATTTATAATCAATTTTGATATGGTGGCTTGCAATAAAATTCCTCTGTAGTGTGATGGTGTCATTTCACTGTCTTCTCCTCTCGGGTGTTGCTGATGAAGCTCAATGTCTTTCAGTTTCTTTTTCATTGTAACTTGTTTCACTTGAAAGTTTTAAGATTATCCCTTTCTCCTTAGAGTTCAGAAATATTTTCTAAATTTTTTTTTCCTACATGTGTATCTTTTCTTCTCAATCTACCAAGAGACTACAGGGATTTGTTATGTAATTTATAGAACATTTTCTCTATCATGTCTTTAATCATTCCTCTTTTGTCCCAGTTCTTACATTGCCTTGTAGAAATTCTCTTACTTGCATGTTTGGTCTCTTAGACTTCTGAAAGTATTATCTTTCCCCTCATTCTCATTTCTTCATGTTCTTGCCCTCTATGTTGGGACATAGTTGACTCCCTTGATCGTCTGGGTCACTTCTACATATCTCCTTTGATTCATGTATTAAATTACTTATTTCCACAGTCTCCCAAGTGCTGTACTTGAATTTCTTGAAGGGTTCTTATTAATTCCTTACTCAAGTTGTCAAGTCTTTACTCTAACTGCTCTATTGGCCCGGCACGAGTTCTGTTGTTCTGATGTATTTTCCTTGAATGGATTGTTAGTTTTCTTTCTTTGCTTACTGGAACTTGGGTCTTTGTGTTAGAGTTTCCAAGAGAGGACAATCACTAAGGCAGGAAGTCATCACAGACCCACAGTGCCTCCCCTTTCCCCAGACTGGGAGTGTAGAAATAGGCCAACTGTCTCCTGCCTTCTGTCAAAGCACCCCAAGGAAGTGTCTCTGTTCCCTCTGGTTCTTGATCTTCTAGACATAGAGGACAAATAGGCAGCTCCTCTGGGCCTCCCAAGGGCAGGAACAATAAACACATCCATATGACTATCTGATGGTCCTCATTGCTGCTGTTTATGCTCACAGCTGTCCTTGATAACCTCTGGTTATCCACAGAGGTTGTACTATTATATGGTATGAAGCCAGAAAAGTTGATGGGGTGTGATACTTTGATGAGATCAAAACTAGCACTCCTGACTGCATTCTGGACTCTCCTCTGCTGCCCATTCTTTAAACTTCCCTGTCCATTGATTGTGTAAATCTTAGTGCAATCTGTGGATTCTGAATGTGTTTCAATGCTTCTGTGTTAATGGAGACTTATTAGAAAGAAAGGTCTTTAAAGGCAGGAGTTATATGTTCTATTTGATTGAACTCAAAGAACATATGCAGTGCTCTGTACTAGTGGATATTGAATCAATGCTGTTGGCTGACTGAAATAGCTTCAATATGGCTAGGTTAGTGGGAAAGAGGAGTGGTTCTTTCATTTTCTTTTACTGCACTACAGTTTTTGTTTTACTTTATGAACATATTCAATGATTTAGGTTTTCTCAATAATATTTGAGTATCTGCATTTTAAAAAAATGTAACTAGTGTCAATATAAGAAGGTTATATTAGATATTTTCTCTCTGATTTATATTTAATAAAAGGGGCTTTATATTGTGCTAATGATTTAGTAGATATTGCATTTTTTTTCTTGAAGAGGTGAGATTATAATGAAACACAAATAAAATTTGAAGTTCCAGAGGTCTAGTCTTTGTAAGCTTTTCTTTTATAAAATGAATTCTATTTGCACCAAAATGAATGGTAAAAGCTTTATTTGTATGTATTTTTTGTTTTATTTTGTTTTTCGTTATACTCCTCTCAGCTCATACCTAGTAAGAGGCCTTTAAACTACTAAGCTAGTATGTGTGTGCTTTTTTAGTTATCTACCAATTCCTGCATGACAATCAAAATATTCCCATGGATAATGAACAGGTGAAGTAAAATATTTTTTACTTCAATATTTTTTTACAAAATAATGACACACTGAAAAATTGGTTTATTAGCCACACAGCAGTGTTCTAGAACCCTCTTGGATTATTTTAGGCTCATTAAAATAGTACTATTATTGTAACAAGAAACCCATATGTACAAAAACATTGAAAGGATGCTTCCTATTTGTGAATATCAAGTCACTTTTCTTTTCCAGCGTTATTATCCTCCACTTGGAGAGCATAAAGGGAAATGCCATGAGGTTAAGAGACTTCCTTATGGCCAACAGTTAATCTGTTGCAGGGGTCAAAAGAGAACTTCCCATGCAATAGTCTGGCCTTGCTAATACATAGACATGATTCCTTCATGTAGGGCAGCTTGGACTGAAAACACTACAGGGGGGAAATAAATAAATAAAACGTGAGCGCTATGTGGCCAAGTTGCTTCTTTGTTTGCTGAAAGACAACGCAAGACAAAGGAGGCTCTATGTTCCACAGGAAGTAAGGAGGCAAATTTGCTCATTTGTCTTCAGAACACACATGCTTATTGCTACCTGCATTCAGTTGACATATACGCCATCCAAATGTACTTCATGCTCAGACTACAGTCACGTACCATTCTCCAACTATATGAACTGTTCAATTTTAGATGTGTGAACCTCCAGAACTGTGAAATAAACAACCTCAGTCAACATCAAGCAGAATTCAAAGAAGTCTAAAGTCTTAATAATTGTCTGTTCAGTCTGGGAGGAAAGGACTAAAATGGCATGAATCCAGGTAGGCGGAGATTTCCCCCTCCTGCTTGCTACATAGGATAGCACATGAGAATCCATAGTTAGGACTTTAAACAAACAGAGTTACCAGTGAGAAAGGAGGAAGATGTTTTCTGAAGGAGAAAAAAGTGTAGAAGTTTTAGCTCAACTGCTAAATTTGAAATGTTGGCTTACTCATAAGACACAAATGGAAGAGGCTATTTCTTTAAAATCACAGCTGGAAAGAACTTTTTTTTATGCTAGAAAAAATTGACCAAGTTTATGGAAAACAAAACTAAATAGGAATTATTAACAACTTCAACATACCCAGAAGTCTTTTACTGAGTTAGAAAAGAGCATGATAGAGAACAAATGTTATGAGAGAAAAAGACCGCTAACAATGATATTAAATGGGCCCACTTTTCCTCAAAATCTTGCAGTTCTCTGCAGTAGAATACTCACATACATACCCAGTATTCATTGTTATGGATCCTACTTGCTACAGACAGGGTCTTTATCCTCATTCATAATGTTTCTGTCTTGCCGTACTTTAGGGTGCAAGGGTCATAAGGGAGCCTCCTCTGCTCGTGCACACTGGACAGCCTTGTTCCTAGTCTCCCACAGTGCCCTGGCATACCTCTCTCATAGCTCTCCAACCATGATCAGTGGGACTGGGCAATGCCTCAGATTAGACTAGAAGCTCCCTGATAGCAAAGAGCCTGTGTGATTCTTCTCTGTACTCTAAGTTCCTTGCATAGCACATAGCAAAGATAAAGCACTCAAACATATTTGAACTAAAGGGAGAATCAATTTGTTCTACCACAAGTGAAAGGTGAAGTTTACTGTAAATGTGATGACTGTTGAACCAAATCTAAATAGCCTAAGCTGTAATTAACAGCCTTCATTTGGTTTGTAAAATGTTACCTTGATTTCTTTATTGCATAACATTCTCCAAGTTTTCAAAGTTTGGATCAGAAATCTGCACTTGCAGGATTTCTCCTTTCTTCATCTAAAAGTAGAGCACATATTCTTAAATCTTACCCCTCTCAAGTGAGTTCTTTTTCTTCTTGTCCAAATTGTGTGTGGGGTGGGGTGGGGGCACAGCCCGGATTTTCCTTATTTCAGTCAACAGTCTAAATTCAAGGGTCCAGACACTTAACAAATAGCTTCAAAATGTCCTTCACATTTTCTCATAGGTGATCCACCCTACCACATATTGTCTCCTAATGGCCGTCCAGTTTATCCTGGAGCCCTTGCATGACACAGGCCTATCGAAGCATAGGAGGTAAGTATCATGAAGATTCAGGGTCCTGTTACACTGGCGATGTTTTCAGTGTATCAGTGGCATAGGGTGTGTCAGACAATCTCCTATAAGACAAATGACAGATCATTACATCTCACACCTCTTACCCTGAGAAAGAAATGCAGAAGGCAGTGACCTCTGAGTTGATTACTACATGATAATTAAAGGGGAATGAAAGATGGCATTCTTGACCAAGTAAAGAGCATAAGTCAAGGTCTAAAGGTATGAAACAGCCTGATTTCTATAGGGAAGCAAAAGCAATTTGATATAATTAGAGTATAAACTGCAAGGCAAGAAGTGTTGAGAGAGGTGATTAGAAAGACAGAGCTGAAACAACAGGCTTAACCACTGAAGGGTCTTAAGTAGGAGACCCTTTCTTGGTCTTTCCAGAAAGCAGAAACTGAGGCGATGTTTGTGGGCTACAAATTTCCTGAAAATGTTATCACAGAAAATTAGGTGTGAGGGAAAAAGGAAGCAACACAGGGCAGAAGGAAGACTGAAGTGAGGATGCTACTGAGCTATCCAGTACAACTGGTCACTTCGTCTTGCAAGATGGTCTTCTGAGAAATAACAAGAAAAACTGAATCTAAAGATAGCCTGTTCAGAAGAGAAGGGAATAGGAATTTTATCTGCCACTTTTCAATTTCCATTTGTCAGGATTTCACCTCGTTGCGTATCAGGGCTTTATATTTCCTTGGTGTGTCAGGATCAAGTACTCAATAGTGTACCAGGAGCTGTTTCTCAAACAGTGAGAATTTCTGTGACTCAGAAGGTATAGTCTTGCTCCAGAAACTGAGGTATTTGCATTGTTACCCTCCTACTGAGGGTTATCAGTTACTCCACACAGCATTTTTACCTATCAGAAGCATCTCTACTGCCATCAAAACTTCAGGGTCATAGAGTATGTTTGTGTGGAACCTTAGGTCATAGTCTGACTTACTGCAGAAACCTCTCTTGCTGGCTGTCTTCTGAATAAATCAATTGGATTTGCATTAACAAAGGTATTCTTTGCTACCTACAAACTCCAAAGAATTCAACAAATGTTCTACTTTTCCTTATCAGAAGGAGATTTATATTAGAGACTATTAGGGATAGGAAAAAAAGTGTTTCTCCTACTCTCACAAACCACTCAACACCACACTTCTGACACCAGATGTGTGAGGATTATTTCCCCATACACAAAGTACTTCTTCAGCAGACACCAGCTGGGTGTGCTGTAATTCAATTCTGACACTATTTTCCTGTACATAGTGTTAGATCTCACAGATTGAGGATTCAGTTCCACAAGACTCACACCTCCCCACATCAGATACCAACTGCAAGTCCCATGTTGTGACCTGTACTTCTGACAGACCAGCTACAAAATGCAGGCTCTTATGACTCCCTCCTCAGGTTTGAATAATTTGCTAGATCAGCTCATAGAACTCAGGGAAACACTTTACTTACACTTGCACCCACTTATTATAAAGTATATTACAAAGGACTCAGATGAGTATCCAGCCAGTTGTAAGAGAAGCATAAAGCATGGCATATGAGAAGGGGTATGGAGCTTCCATGCCCCCTCCACTGCACCACTCTGCAAGACCCTCCACGTGTTTAACTATCTGAATTCTCCTGAACTCTGCCGTTTTCAGTTTTTATGAAAGCTTCATTACGTAGGCATGACTGACTATATCGTTGTCTATTGGTGATCTCTCAGCCTTCAGCCCTCTCTCTCCCTTCCAGAGATTGGCAGGTGGGGCTAAATGCCTTGGGTTTTCTGGTGGCCATCCCCTACTGTGATGTTTCCTAGGAGCCCTCAGCTACCAGCCACCTCATTAGCATACAAAGACACTCATCACTGGAGATTCTAAGGGTTTTAGGAACTGTGTGCCAGGAAATGGGGATGAAGACCAAATATATATTTCACAATATTACAGAGATGATGTCTTTACATATCTAAGACCACTGAGCCACCAAAACTTCAACTTGTGTGACAGGGCCCTGAATCTTTGTCAAGTTTATCTTCAACTTCTGCCAAGCATGTGTCATATTAGGACCTTAAGATACTTACCACTTTCTACTCACCATGTTCAAATAGCATTCTGCCACTAGTATAGTGGATCTATACGACGTTCTGAGGAATTCAAGATATCTAATGTTCCTGAAAACTATATTTTGACAGAAAGCTGAACAGTAGGTCTGGAGCAAGAGAGTAAATATGTACTATCATCTTTTCTATGTAAAAGTGAACTTCTTTGTCTCCCTATTGATGGGGTTAAAAAAATGCATTTGCCAGATTAACATCTGCAAACCAAGTGTCATTGGCTGTGTTGATCTAGTACCACAGCTGCTTTACTTTTAAATTTATGATAGTCCATTTTCATCCATCACAATACATCCGTTTTGTGTGGTGGCTAGATGAATGACAATATCATAAAGGACCACTACTCAAATCTTTTAAGCCTATTAAGGAAATGCTTCTCTGTATTTCCTCGCAGGATTCAGTTTTTCTTCTGATTATCTATTTTGACTAGGAGCAGAAACTTTCATGTCTTTCAGTTGCCTTTTTATTTTTTTTAAATCATAGGGCCCTTATTCCACCGGTCAGGGCAGTCCTTTCCAGTTTTTAAGTCTATGTATCAAAATTGTATACTTAGGAATTCAGGAATTAACCAAAGGATGAGTTTCAGGACTTGTTGTGCCCATTGTTAGCTTAAATCAAAACTTTAAAATTTATCCTCTATAAGCCCCTTTTCTCACCAGAAGATCACAGTGGCATTCCAGGTCCCTTGGTATCACCTCAGACCCTATAACAGTTGATTAAAAATGTAGATATTGTTCTTTCTTAGTATATAGTTATTATGATACATGATGTTAGGTCAGCAATTTGAGGAAGAAGCAGAATATTCAATGTATATACCTACAATGGTGTTGCAAGATACTTATACAAGGGAACCATGTTTTCCCTTTAATCAGTGAGCACTGGATCCGGAAACTTGCTTAAATTTGGAAAATTAACAAAAGACCGTGGTTTTACACACTAGTGGCTGATACCAGAATTCTGCCAGCTAGTTCTCATTTTTTAAAATTATATGGTTTGATAAAACCTCTGGCCACTGTTCACTATTTGCCTCCAGATTCTGCATAATCCCTTAGCTATGCCACAGATTCCTGTGAGTGAAAGCACCCTTAAGGTCATTCTGGCCTTCATGCTCAATATAGTAATATACATACCTTTCCTCTGACTTTTAAGTGCTACTCCATGGTTTCTGCAATTCCAGAATCCCATGATCTCTATTCATATTAGGCTTCATCTTCCACAGTCAACCTGACTTTACAGGGGTTAGCAATCATGATGTTGTTCAAAGAAGTTAATATCTACCTACTTTCTCCTGTACATTTTTTATGGTCTTAGTGGAGGAAGTGTCCTTACTGCTCAGTAAACTTATCAGGCTGTAGATTTTTCAGTTCTTATATAGTCTATTTACATTAACATTTCTACCTTATTGAGCCTTCTACCCTTTGAGCTTTCTATACCTTAGTCTATACCTTTTATCTTCACTTCATTTACAATAAACCATAATAATGTCGAAGCTTCACAGAGTCATTCTAATAAATTACCTGATAGGTTATGAGTGTTCTTTTCAGAACATTGAACTCTGAGTCACAGGTCAATATTTGCATGAAGAAGTTCTCTTCTATCCATCTTTATAGATCTCTATTCTAATCTAGAATTTTCCAGATTACTCTTAAATGTGTTTCTTGGTCCCTGCTATGACATATTAACCAGGCAAATGCAGAAATCGCCCACCTTACTACCAAAGACAGTTTCCGGACTGTCGTAAATAGCTTTGTAGTCTTATTTAGATAGAGAGATAGGTGGGCTTTTGAGGAGGTCAGTGCATCTAGAATTTGCAGAGCAGAATAACCAAAAGAGAGGAAGGAAGAAAAAGAGAGATAAATCTTCAGAAGGGTCTCCCTTCCTCTGTTTGAGTTTAATAGAAACTATAAAGTCAGAGTTCCAAGAAGCTCCACAAACCCCAAGCAGAAGAAACACAGAAAAACACACCAAGGCATATTATGGTCAAATTGCTGAAAACTACTAATAAAGACAAAACATTAAAAGCAGAAAGGAAGAAAAAGACATGCTACATACATACATATTGTACATTAGCTAAGCAGGATATTCCTACACTCCTGTGCCAATATTTCATTCTCTGCCATTTAAATGATGTTGATCAGATTTTCTCCTTGGATCCTCTACACATGACTACACAAAACAACCCAGACTTGTGTGAAATGATTCATCTGTTCTCAGCAATTAGTGAAGCAAAAATATATCCTGTGGTTAAGAAAATGTGTTTGAGCATAGATCAGCCTTTCTTTATGAATGCCTAGGTAGACAACCCAGTTAGCCAGATCATAAGTTGATCATCAGTGTAATTTTCACCCCATAACATCTATGTCACAGGCTATTAAAAGATCAATGCCAGAATTAACAGTCATCCAAATGCTGACCCTAGCACAAGAAGGCAGTAGAATGAAACAGTTTAAAAGTTAGAACTCTGGAATTGGACTTCCTGGGTTAAAATCATGACTATTGTGTATTAATTTTGAGACCCTGGACAAGTTACAAAGCTCCATTTCCCTATACGTAGATAATGTATAATAAAAGAAAATAATCTTATAAGATTTTTAAGAGGATTCATTGAAGAGAAATGCTATTTCGCTTAGCCCTGTGTCTGCATATACTAAACCCTCCACTAAAAGTTGGGTACACAGCTCGGTGTGGTGGCTCATGCCTGTAATCCCAGCACTTTGGGATGAGATTACAGGCATGAGCCAAGATGAGAGGATCGCTTGAACCAGGAGTTCAAGACCAGCCTAGGCAACATGGTGAAACCCATTTCTACAAAAAATACAAAAAATTAGCCAGTTGTGGTGGCGCATACCTGCTACTGGTGAGGCTGAGATGAGAGGATCACCTGAGCCCTGCAGGTCAAGGCTTCAGTGAGCTGTAATGGCTCCACTGGACTCTAGCCTGAGCAACAGAGTGAGACCTAGTCTCAAAAACAAAAAAAAAGTTAGATAAATGGAGAGGAATGACTACTTTAACCATCATTGTTTAACAAAACTTTGTCTCATGATAATCACAACTTTCACAATATGTTTGTGTTTTTTTAATCTAGAAACCAGTATACTTCCTCTACAGCAGCATTTTAGTAGACAAATGAATAGGTAGCATTTTGCCAGACAAATGAACCTAGGCATGTTCCTATTGCTGGCCGGAGTTGGGTGAGGTAGCCACCTCAGGGAGAGTGTTGGTCTGTAATTAGGAGCTAGGAATACGCATGTGGGGCTTACCCTACCAGTTAATCTTTAGAATGAAATTATTCTTGTCTTTCACCAACTCAGCCCCCTGCTGGGGCATCCTTTGTGTTAAATTAAACAAGTTTTCCTGGTCTAATCCTATTTCTGTAATGTGGGTAATAGAAAGTAGTTAATAAGAGAAGCATGCCTAATTAAAATCAGGTGTTGGGGTCTTTTTGCAATGGTGATACAGGGCGGATACAGTTTAAATGATGTTTAAACCCATATACATAAAAATATTTACAATTAGGAAAAAAAGAGAAAAATAAGGAGAGAAATGCATTGCTTTTTGAGTGCAGTGCTACTGCCTCTAGTTAATGCAACATAGTGAATGTCAAATTCTTGGCAAACTCACCAGACAGGAATGATGCTCCTCCTTAATTCTCCTCCTGTGGGTGAGTAAGGGGTAAAGAGGAAGCTGAGTGTTCACTTATACAGAGTTGTTGGGGGAAAACTCCCAGCTATGGGAAAACTGTGGGGTAGTAAGCAGGGTTGCTCCCCAGCCTCACCCCTGCAGTGATCTTGATAATATTGTTAAATGAAGTAAAGCAGCATATGTATAAAGAATAAACAGTTATAATTTCAATTTTTCATATAAAAGTATATCATTTTTGTATGGTGGAATAATCTTTAATTTCCTATTTTTCAAGGTTTCTATACTGAACATGTAATACTTTACTAATCAGAAAATAAACATTTTTATACTGTTGAAAACAAGTTTTCATGATCTTGCTATATTCTGTATCACATGAACGGAAGGTTTTGAACTTTTAAATATATGGATATGAGGTTAATTGAATATATTTAATATCCAACAGTAAGTAATCATATTGTTGAGAAAAAAGAGAGTCTTTCAAGTTCTTGAATAAATTTTAGACTAAATCAATTAAAATTTAGAAATTTAAAAATATGTGAGGTATATTTAATATAACCTCTAAAGTATATTTTTGAAGTATATGGGAAAATTGCATAATACTCAGAAAAATTAATGTATAAGTTCCTCTTTTAAGTTCCATAGAGTTTGACATTTTACTACTAAATATAAGCCTTTTGAAATACTCAATATTGTAGTTATTAGCTACCTTTCTCCAATAGCTAAGTTGCAGTCCTAACGAACAGTGGAATAAATTAAATAGATAATGTTTTAGGATTTTTTTCACCATATTGTGTTCACTTTTCAGTGTTTTGTCTTTTTTTTTAATAGTGTTCTCTGGAGGGAACATTTTTCTGTGAGGTAATTCTACAAACAAATGTGAGAAAACTACAAGCAGAGTCAGAAGTTGATGAAAGTTAATAGGTTAAAAAAATAAGCTCCACTGCTACTCTTTGTTTTTTGGTACTACCGCTACCATTTAATGAATATCTCCACATCTAAGCCTTGTGCAGTTTGCCTTAATGCATCATTTTATTTAATCCTCACACAACCATATGTAGGTATAAATTAGTATTTCCATTTTAAAAGTGAATAATTTGAGTGTGGAAGAGTTTAAGTAACATAAGAATGACTCTGAGTTAGAATACCTTTCTGAATTCTTCTTTGTTTGTTTTGTCTTATTCACATTGTGTTATTGTTAGATGAGTGATTGTGAATAACTGGTACCTTTAAGAGCAACACTCTCCACTGGAAGAAAGATGTCACATGTTCCAAAGACCCATTAAAGATGCTCAAGGGACCAAGAAGAGGGTTCGACTTAGTAAAGCCACTCCAGTACTTCACTCTTGCTTATATCTCTAAATGTGGCTGCCTCTTCTGGCTCATGTGTATAGACTTAGATAAATAATTAGAAAAGTAACTATTATTTTTAGAGGAATTACCACAACCAGGGTCTGTACTAAGCACCTAAAATTAGATGTTTTTATTTAATTTTCACAACTTAAAGACAGGTACAATGATCACATTTTGCAGATGAATACACTGAATCTCAGGGTGACTAAATGTTTTCATCAAAGTCACAAAGGTGATTAATGACACAGCCAGAATTTGAACCTAGGCTGGCAAGTTGAAACCTTAGGCTCTTGCTAACATACCATATAACATTTTCCCCCTAGTTTCTACTTTCACATGTGACATTTCTTGGTGCCTACTTGTGCGACTGTATCCCTGACTTCTCCCCTACATTTAGTGTGGCCTTATGTCTGCTTCCCAAAAATGTCTTTGTTTACATCAGTTGTCCTGGTCTTCTGTGTGTTTAGACCCACATTCATTCTCAAAAGGGACTAAGTGTAGAGAACGAATTATATGGTCACCTTACCAAAAGCCAATGAAGATATATGCTGGAATTCACCTGATATCTCATTGTGAGCCAGCCCCGCATCTGAGATCCGTCTCTGCTCAGGGCCATTGCAGTTTCTCTGACACATAGGAAAACAAGTAATTCTGGTCATACAGAGACTATATGACTAAGAAATTCAGCATCTGGAAACCAGATTTTTAATAACAATGAAGGTGAGAATATTATTCATATTACCAACCTCCTCCAGAAAATACCTCGGAAGTGTGCTCAAGGTTGCCGTGGCAATCAGGACCTTATTAAAAGTTAGTTTAAAGATTATTAACTGAAAGTATTATAAGTTAAAATTGTTTAAGGTTGAAATAGATGCGTCAGAGATTTTTTTAAGAGCATCTCTGAAACTGTGCCTTGAAAAACAGTATAAACAGCTAAGTTGAGTTGTAACAACTGACAAACAGAAAATATTCTGGTATCCTGATTACATTCTTCTATTAGTACACTGTAACAGTTTCTCTAGAAATACACCGTTCTCAGTTCTTTCAAAATATTTTCTTTCTTCAAGAGCCCCTTACTGATAGTTTTGAATCTTGATGATCTGTTAAGACTATTATTTATCAGTGGCCTATAGTCATATCCATGATGTCCAAGGAGGAGACAGGAGCTGTTTGGTCCATCCTGAAATTACAGCTGATACTAGAAATAATGTAAGCCAAGTGAATGCTTATTTTATGTAAGACTACAGATGCTTAGATTCATTGCAAATTTTACTGAGTAGCTAAAACATGTAATAATGTTCAAGAAAATGTAAGTACTGTATTTAGAATTGATACAAGTTGCAAAGACGCCTTTAAGAACATCTGATTTCCTAAGTAATCTTTTCATTTAACAAATTTCATGGTATATAGATTTGAGAAAACCAGATGCTCAGAAATATGCTGAAATTGAGTATTATAACTTTAAGTGCCACAAAATGGAGTCAAGCTTCCAAACCTTCCCTCTGCCTGCTCTGCCGTGTGTTTTTCCTGCATATACCAGTAAAAGGTCCTGATATTTTCTTTTTAATTGCTATACTTCCGCAGTCCTAGGAATTTGGGGATCAGTTTGGGATGAAGAATCATGCCAGGAAGATAAATTACATTCATATGTCAGATATTGCCTCACAATGCTATCTAGCTCAGTAGGCTATAAGGAGCCCCCACTCACCAGGCCAGGCTCCAGCCAAAAAATAAATAAATATATAAATAAAAGAACACCTACTGTTTCTCCATCAAGGGCAACTCTCTCAGAGGGCAAACAAAAGCAACAGAGGGAGGCCAACCATATCCATGCAGTACTATGGGTTGCTATGCAACCCTCCGTGCAAGTTGGGCAGCAACAGATGGACACTTTGAATAGAATTAATGCCCCTCTGACCCATGTTTTAAATAGTACCCAAACCTACTGCCTGATGAATTCTATTAACTATAGGCATACTTACACATATAAAATATGGCATCATAACTGACATTGTTATTACCCTCTTTACTAAAATAAAGTCATAAATCCATTGCAAAATTTGAGACCGATAATATTCAATGAGATATTTCTATTTTTTTCCTTTTTTCATGATAAATGAATCACTGATGTCTCATAACCTTGGGCTACATATTTCCTTATAGTGTTGCTCTGGTTTTATATGCAAAAGTGCAATGCCTGCTCTGAGTTTCAGCTTCAGTTTTACACTGAGTCCAGCTTCTTCCTCAATCATTCTCACGTGTGGGCTCTGGGTATTGTGTAAGAGACCTCTTTTTATTGTAACTTTAAGAAAGAACATAACATAGAATAAATATTTTATAGATCTTTGTGGGGACAATGTTGTAACTTTATTCCTGATTGAACAATCAATCTAAAGGCTATACCCGAAGCCCCAAAAGTTCTTTGTCCATCTGCCTTCTGCCTCAGCCAAGTTTAAGCTACTTTTCATCCCTTGTAGTGAGTAGATATCAAAAGAAATCAGTATGCCCTCAAGATTATTAGGATAAGATCCACTCTCTGGTCGCTTAAATTTTATATACTAGGTAACTTAGGTTGTTAGAACCTAAAAGAGAGGGATATCAATGCTAAAAAAAATCTAGGAGTACACAATCTCATATTGGTGGCAACAAGCAGTTTTTAATTTTTAATGGAGCATATGTATGATAAGATATCTTAATAAAGTGGTAAGATAAGATATCTTAATAAAGATCACAGAGCATTGACTTAGAGGAAAGAAACTGGAGAAAGGGCTCTGGAAAGTTTCTTTTCTTGATATCAGTGTCCTTACCTGTAAAGTAAAGTAAAGAGGTTTTGGCCAGATAATTCCTTTAGCCAAAAGTTAAAGGTTCCAACTTTTCCATTCTCTGAAAGATCAAAGACGTCATTAAAATAAAATGAGTGGGAATTTCATTTCTATCAGAGGATAAAGATGGGGATAATATCAAAGCTCAATATCCACATCTAATTACAAAATCCTTCTGTTCTGATGATGGAAAATACAGAAGAAATGGGAAGCCCTTGGACTCTAGGACCTAGAATATTCAGCGGGGCTCCTGTCTCCAGTCTGTGCTTCCATTCCTTGGAGATGCTCATACCCAGGGGAAGAGAGGTGCTTGCCCATTGATTATGTGACTTTTGCAAAATTTTCTATCCCACTCCGTATTCTCTTGCTAGAACCGTCCTTCTGTGGAGGAGGCAACAGCACGTGTGCCTCCAGTTTTGAAAGTGGTGCTGCTTCTCTGTCAGGCCTCCTCCTGCTGCCCAGTATGTCTTCGTTTTGAAAATATGAGCTCAGTTTTCCATGACTGGGCACACAGGCTTGCAGTCTTCTTGCTAGGAGTCATTACTTATATATGCCTGCACGTACAGATATGCTTACATACGGACTCACGCAAAATATTTGCTTGTTTTTGTTTGTTTGTGCTCCCACCTCCCTTGAAGGCCCTGGAGGTGGGAAGCGTGGCATCTTAAATTATTTTGTCATCTCTGGCAAGATTTAGTGTTAATGACTTTATGATGTCTTACCACTTCACTACCACCTGAAATAATCACGTAGAAGCAATTCAGTTCAGTAGCTACTTCCTGTCTTTGTAGTCCCATGTACTTTCTGATGAGACAAGAGATTTGATTTAGTCCTACATTTATTCTGGTAATTATCATACTGTGTCCCATTGAAGTCTCAAGTTACATATCTTTTGAGAACTGTAACTCCCTATTATTTCACTATATAATGTTTTCAATTCTATTACACTTAATACACGTATTTCAAAAATAATCTTATTTTATTTTAGAGACTATGACATGTTCAATAGGTTATAAATAATAAAAAACATGACTATTAGAAATAAATGAGTATCAATAGATGAAATGTGTTTGGATGCTGTAACCCCATATGTATTTTGTTTAAATCCACAGTGATTGACTCTGTTTCTAAGACCATAGGTTCCAAATTTTGAAATGTCCTACCCTAACTGAGGTAGAATTATTTGCAATTTATTTTGATGAAAAAATTACTACCATAATTACTACTGTAATTTTTTTGAATAATTACTACTGTATAAATTCTTAGCGATGTAAGAGCCCTTTGGATTCTTCTAGGCCAATTACTTCTTTTCACAAGTGACAGAATGGAATCCACAGTAGGTAGATTTAGGTATTTTAGCCCAGTTTTTTTTTTTTAATATTGTCGTAGGGTTTTCCAAAGGTACCTAATTCCCTTTTTCTCCCCACCATTCTGGGAAAGTATCATTAGCAACTATACATAAAAATGTAACTTTGCTTTAAAATAACTAATCATTATATCTAAATTTCTATGTTAAATTTCTTCAAATTTCTCTTAGCTATTGTTTCAAAATGCACACATTCGTAGATAAAATTCCACTGCAGGGAAAAGTATTCACAAGTAAACATCATCAGTAAAGAATTAAATTTCTTGTGTTAGCTTTTTTTCAATCGTATTGAATCTTCAATGTTTAAAAACTAGTTTGAAATGTTCATCAAATCCACTGAACTGCTGAATTTTCACATTTTTTATAATTTGCATTGATTTATGGATGGTTCTACTTGCTAGAGACTCTGGGTAAGCACAATGAATTTTAAGGATGCTTCTAACGTTTAGAGATTCACCATCAGAACATCATGTAAGGTACAAACCCACATATATAAACCTTCATGGCTTGTAATGAAACCTTGTCCCATGACTTGTCTGAGAGAACAGTTATTTCACTTTTGATGAGAAGAAAAATTTGCAAGTTCAAATGCTTCTGGGGTTTTCTGGACTCCCTCTGGGACTTTCTGTGCTCTCTAGCGCTCTAGGCTCTCTCAGCCACATCTTAAATACTCAGATTTCCCCAGAGCAAGATTCACAAGACAATTTTTTTTTTGGTCAACTTAATTGTTATGTGATGTGATTTAGTTTCTCTGTCCAGAGACTTCGAATTCCTTAGGAAGTTTTTTACCTTACACTTTACCCAGGAGAAGTCTTTCAATATGTACATTGATTGAAAAAGAGGAAAATTCTATATGTGGTTCATTATTGTTCTTTAAACCAATATAAGAGAAGGGAACATAGCTTAAACATGTTATTAACATCTAAGGTACAAAAATGTCTATTGAAAATGCTATTAAACAAATTTAAAGATCAGGGCCTTCAGAATGTTTTAATTTGAAACAATTCTTTTTCTTAAAGACTTTTACAACCAGGCATCTATTTTAGCTGCTTTATCTGCAGCCTGGTCCAGAGAGGTAAACTGGATTTAATGGGAATTTTAGTTGTTTTGTTTTTTTCTTTCTACAACCTGTTGGTTTCATCTGCGCTAAACTCAGCTCCTACTTATTGTTGAGGGGAATTGAGCTATTGAAGAGTGGCAGCACTTGCTCCTACATGGGTCAGTGGTGTGCTTCCAGTGTTTCTGTGCTGCACAACAGATTATGAGCGTCACTAATAACCAAGCTCTTGATTCAATTCAAAGGCTTCCTGTCGTTTATCCAGCAGAGAAGTACAACTAAAGCTGGAAGTGATTGGAAATTGTCTAGTTTTTGTCATTTAAAAGAAGAAAGGAATTATAAGAAAATAGTAAAGTGTCCAGCTTTATCTTTAAAAATTTGTATATGCCAATGCCTGTATTTTATGAAATTCAATTTCTTTAGTATTATACATATGCATATATAGGTAATGATCTAACTTAGCATGTGTCTTTTAACACATTGTTTAGCTACAGTTTTTGACAATATCAGTTTCCACCTTCTGTTTCAGAAGCTCCTTCCTTTCTGGTTCCTAAGAAACATTTGCCTTTCTTAAAATCTGTGTGTTTCAGTGTATTTTCTATACAATCCACACTAGTTGTAAGACATGCTTTGCAATAAAAGAGTGGGTTTCCAAAGTCAGACAAGTTTAGGAAACATTTCATACTACATTCCACCTCTCAAAGATTTGCATATTAGTATACTAAAACCTTGGAGAGGTCCTACAGTGACATTGTCTATTTATCTTATTATTTAATCCAGTATCCTAGATAATGTTCCTCTTTTTTTATGCAGTACAACCTGTTGCGTATTATTGCATGGAGCTTCAGGAATCGCATTTTGGGAAGACAGCATAGTGTTGTATCGTAACTTTAATATAATTCAGTGGTTCTCAAAATGTGGAGTCTGGGCCATCAATACCTGAGAACTTATTAGAAATGTAAATTCTCAGCCCTCCTCCCCTGACCACAGACCTTGAATCAGAAACTCATTAGGTAGGTAGGGTTCTGGCAATCTGTGTTTATAATCAAACTCCAGATGTTTCTGACATGTGCTAATTTCACTGGTCTAATTCCACTAGCTTCACTTTATTCATCTAATTTTTTGATTGAGTGGAATAAGTGGGTGACAGAAAAGTAAACTTTAAAACTGGGTAGTTGTACTACTTAGGATGTAAGACTGCCTTAATTGTCAAGGGTTGCTGCCATGACTAAAATTAAATTAGGCAAAACATGGAATATATTGGCTCTTATAATGAAACTGCTGGAACAACAGTCATGAAACAGCAACCCAGGCATCAGAGACTTGAATGTTATCAATCCCTTCTCTACTTCTCATTTTTCCTTTACCCCTGCGTAACAGCTTCGTCTCAGTGGGAAGGAGGTTCTATGACTGGTCCATCTTGGTCAGGTGCTCACCCTAGACCAATCTCTGTGCTGGGGCTGTGTGATTAAAATCCAGAAATGAAGAGGAATGTTGTGGAATAGAAGAGAGAGAAACACAGATGTGACCACTGAGGAAATAACAGTTTGCATTTTCTAAAATTATTTTTTGCTTTAGGAGATCGTCCCTTCTAGGCTGTTAGAAAAATGAACCACTCATATTTGGACAAAAAATTTGTTTTATGAAATTTGCCTTCAACTGAAGAAAAAAGGTAATGTCAAAGGAGCAAGGAATAGGGTAGGCTTAATACCACCAGTTCCCTTTTTGGAGTCAATTACCTCTAGGGTTTCTATAGTTTACGCTTCAAGGAGAGCTACGGTTAAATACCTACATTTGCTAGCAGAACTTTTTTTTTTAATTTTAACTTTTTTGTAATGCCATGTTGTTTATTAGGCTGGAAACATTTTTCACCATTTATGATTACTTATAATGAATGAGACAGACACTATATATGCATAGTTGCATACATGCAACTCCAATAGCTAACCTGGTTAAAAATAAAAAGTGAAAAATGAATTTTTGTTAACGTATCTCATTTTGACAACTTACATTATACAATACTCTTTTGCATGAATTAGCACTTTAAAGCAGATATCTTCTAGACAATCTCAGAAAAATATTTTGGATAGATTGGCAGGAAACACTTAAACATTTAGCATTTCTAAATCTCAAAATCTTTGGAAAATTTCCAATTATAATATAAAATTAGGATGGACTACAGTATGGTATGGAAACATCTCAGAAATTTCAATAGTTTAAAGCAACGAAGATGTAGTTCTTGTACATTCTGTGTCCACAAAAGCTGTGCAGAAAACCTGCTCATTGTGTCTCTGAGAGACATAGTGCCAGCACAAATTTAAAAGGAATTTTAGTACTTGGTAAAAAGCTACAAGAAGAGTTTTATTTTTTTTAATTAATGAAACATTTATTAATCCAAGCATTGGGGTTAGAAATACACAATCTTTCTCACAACAAATCCTCATTTTAACATGTGAAATAGGTATATAAACAAGTTATTTTAAGGCAAACACATTGAGAAGATTGCAAAATGCCCTCAAGGAACCACTAATTTTGCTTTAGGTGAAATCCTATTATCTATAGACTTTTCTCTTCTTCATGGTTGTGGGAGTTGGGGAGAACTATATAGATATTAAGCAGGTACTAAACATTTCATACACGTATGTCCTCTTGGTGATGCACATTTACCCCTCCTCTCCCATTTCAAATAGGAAAATAAAAGGTAATATGTTTTTAAATCATTACCGAATATTGACAGCCATAACAATTTTCAACAGAATTTTTTTTTTTTTTGAGACAGAGTCTCCCTCTGTCACCCAGGCTGGAGTGCAATGGCGCGATCTCGGGGCTCACTGCACCCTCCGCCTCCCGGGTTCAAGCAATTCTCTTGCCTCAGCCTCCCGAGTAGCTGGGACTACAGGCACTCACCAACATGCCCAGCTAGTTTTTGTATTTTTAGTAGAGATGGGATTTCACCATTTTGGCAGGATGGTCTCTATCTCTTGACCTCATGATCCACCCACCTTGGCCTCCCAAAGTGCTGGGATTACAGGCGTTCCAACAGAATTTTTTTGTGGCCCTGTAGAAAAGGAATATGTTGAAAAGTTTTCTTCAACAGAATTTTCAAAAAAAACTTTTCAACATATTCCTTTTCTAACAGGGCCACACTTAATTGAGCACATGTGTTTCAGATAAATTACAGGCATTATTGCCAATTCTCACAAAAAGTATTATATAATACCTCCTATCTTTAATATAGGAAACTGAAGCTCTGAAAGGTCTAAAATATATGTAGTAGGCTGTAATCTCCATGTAGACTAATGTTTATTATGTGTGTAGTAGATGTACATAATAAACAATAGGCAATTTATGTATATAGTAGTCTGTAAATTTCATGAGGGCAGGAACTGTGATTGTCATTCATTGAGTCCTCAGCACCTAATAAGGTGCCTGGCGCACAGTAGGTTATCAAAAATATAGATTGAATGAATGGATTAAATAATGAATGGATAGATGTGAGGGAACTGGAATTAGATCAAACTCTGCATGACTCTAAAACCTGAACTTAATGCAGCTTTGTGCTACCTTCAAAGGCTTCCTGTCATCTGTTAAAGAATGTCTGAAAAATGTGTCAATGCAAGCCTTCCACCACCTTGTTCCAGTCTTTCCAGTATTGTCTTCTACTACATCTTGTGATATCCTCTTTTTCTTTCTTTTTTTGAGACAGACTCTCACTGTGTTCTCCAGGCTGGTCTCAAACACCTGGGCTCAAGGTATCTTCCCGCCTCACCCTTCCCAGTAGCTGGAATTACAGGTGTGCACCACTGTGCCCAGCTATGATGTACATTTTGACCAAGGCCAGGATATTCGAGTCTGTTAAACTTTGCCGCGCAAATTTCTGTCTCTTAAGTTGAACTTCATTCACATCTAAAATGTGCTCTCTTGTTCTCATCTACTACTTGTATTTCTCCACTGGGCCTAATACTGCCACCTAGGAAGTTATTTGGAAATATGTAGGGCAATTTTGTATCTTAAGTGAATAAGATTCATATAAAGAGGAGTCCAGGGATTCTAAATATCTTGCAATGTATGGATGGGGCCATCCTGCATAATAAAGAATTATGTGAAGAATTATGTTCTTTTTGTTTGTTTGTTTTTCAAGATGGGGTCTTGCTCTGTTGCCCAGGCTGGAGTGCACTGGTGCGATCTTGGCTCAGTGCAAGCTCCGTCTCCCAGGTTCAAGCAAAGGAATTATGTTCTTATACCCAAAAGCCAATAACCTAAAAAACTTTGATAAACAGTATGTGTCTAACTCAGTCCAGAGTCAGCACAATGCAGTCATGATTAGCATTAGAGCCAACCGATGCTTAATCCCAGCTATGTCACTTACTAATTATACTATTTTGAGTCATTTAGATGCATATAACTTCAGTTTTCTCATCTGTAAAATGTGTTTAATAATGTATTTCAGCAATGAGGTGGGAAGTAGAGATGAGAAATAAAAAACTCTAGCACATAGTTGGTTTTTAAAATAAGAGCTATTCTTAACACACCCTTGAAACCAACATCAAGCCCCAACCTCCTTGAAACCATGCTATTCCAGCTGAGAATATCCTTTCCTTCTTCTCAACCACTGTGTTTTAGTCAGGGGTCTTTTAGTTGCAAGAAAAAGGAACTAGTTCAAGTTGTCTCAGGGAGAAAAAAGAAAGTTTATTGGCAAGGTACTGCATCAGTTAGGATTCTTTGTGTTGTAAGTGACAAAGTAAAACTGACTTAATAGAGAGATGTATTACTTCACATAATTTTTAGAAAACTATAAAATCCACAATGACAATTCATGTATATAGTAAATACAAGCTCTGTGAGTGCAGTGGTTCTGTTTGTCTTATTTATAGTTGGTTTTGTTCTCACATTCCATATGGTAAAGTCCTGGCAAATCCAGACTTTCCTCTCATAGTATTAACAAAGCCTGCTACAGTATCGGATCACTTATCTATACACCAACTATCCCTGGGGAAGAGAATGAGCGCTTCTAGCAGAGCCCAAGGAAGAAATAACTTTTCTCTCTCAGAAACTTTTATCTCATGGGCTTTAGGAAAAATTACAGATCCATTTCTAAACCAACCGCAGAGGTTGGGGTAGGAAGTGAAATTATTTGAAAAAGCAAACAAACAAAAATTTGCTTAAGCTCATTAGAACCCAGCCATTAATTTGAGAGGTAAATCGACCCTCTCTCCTCCAAATAACTGACAATGGAAGAGGAGTGGCTTCTTAAAAGATAGGAGAATTGTTAGCAAGCATGGGAAAGAGGTGGAATCATGTGGTACAAAACATGACCGCTATAGTGGTAATAGAGATCATGGCTTAGATTTTTCCCAAGAAAATAAAATAAGTCTAGAGAATAAGTAGGCAGGCAACTGCAAAAAATTAATTGGGTAATGCCCTAACATGTACCAAGCCCTACTTTCAGCTCTGAGGCTTCAACTATGAATAAAATGACTATCTTCCCCACCATATGAGAGTTAGTCTTCTGGTAGATAAGATAGTCAAACCTAAAGGTGATTCAGACTTCAAAGCTTCCTTCCTATGAACAGTTTACTTGTTTGCAGGTCAGTTTACTTAGAATTTCAAAGAGAATACAACCAACCACATGTAATCATGTGTAAATGGTGGGCAAACCTGCTATACTTTTGTTTTTACCATGTAACATTTTTTTTTGCAATTATGATATAGTGTAGTGGCTTTTTTTTAATTTTGTTTTTTGTTTTGCAAATGAAAATTTTCAAATGGGTGGTAAAGTAGAGACTTAGTAGTACTGAAAAATAATGTCAGTAGAGAGTTGGATACCTAATCGATGTCTTGATCAAAGCTTCAGGAAGCTTGGGAAATTAGCAGCCTCCATTTAATAGAAGGGTAGATGAGTGGTGATCTTAGACATAAGCAGCTCTGTGAAAGCAAGGAGGGTGAAGATATTGAGAGGTTTGCTTGCCATATTTGAAGTCTTATATTAGTCATTATTTTCAACAACTCTTACCACGTAGCCAAACAAGGGAGTTCATATTAAATATTTTGGATGTTTATGTTTTATTTCTTCAAGTAGGTTGTATTATTCTTGCATTTTTTCACCTTATCTTGTGCACTTAGTTAGCACACTGGTGATACCTAGTGTACTTAGTAGTCACTAGTCATTGGGTTAATTAACTGAAATAAAAGGGTAGGGGTAAATTTTTGAAACAGATATAATAATTATCATTAACTCCCAAACTCTTATTTTGCCCCTCTGGATCCCTGGAAAAGAAGTTAAATCATAAGATTGTGCAGATTCTAACCCTACTGGGGGCACTTAGAAGGAAATAATTTATCAAGTGATAAGGAGCAGTAATAAAAATTCATTCTCAAATAAATTATTGTGATAAGCAGTGAGGTTTTTTTAGTTATTAAAGAACTTGCTTGCAGGAAGCTGAAAATTCACACTGTGGTCCGGGTCGCAACTAGCTCTTCATTATGACACAAATGATCTCATGAAGAAACCTATTGGTGATAAAACACAGTGTGGATAGCACTCGCCTTAGAAGCAAAGGTGAGTAGCTTCTCAAAAGATAGGTAGGAAAATTCCTATTGAAGAAGCTATTGGCTGGGCGCAGTGGCTCACGCCTGTAATCCTAGCACTTTGGGGGCCGAGGCGGGTGCATCACAAGGTCAGGAGATCGAGACCATCCTGGCTAACATGGTGAAACCCCGTCTCTACTAAAAAATAAAAATAAAAAATAGCCGGGCGTGGTGACGGGCGCCTGTAGTCCCAGCTACTCGGAAGGCTGAGGCAGGAGAATGGCGTGAACCCGGGAGGCGGAGTTTGCAGTGAGCCGAGATCACGCCACTGCACTCCAGCCTGGGCGACAGAGTGAGACTCCATCTCAAAAAAAAAAAAAAAAAAAAAAAAGCCATTGGCAGAGCTTCTTAAACAGGAACCCATAGATGTCTTTGTAAATTCTGTGAAATGCCTTCATCCACACCCCCAGCAACGGGATGCAAGTTTCTACATGTGTGACAAATCTTATCTTTCTGGGGAAAGAATTCACAACTTTCCCCCAATTTTAAAGGTAGCTGAACCTAGATGAAAGATGTAGACCCATGATTCTATAGTTATTGTAGGGAAAATATGTGAGCAATAAAAACAAAGCCTTTGGCATGCCATGGTAAGATTGGCCCTATAGTACTTTGCTGTTACCCATTAGACAATGTGTGCCTCGTGGAGTTTTGGTGACAGATGTCTTGCAATGCAAATCTGAAGTATTATGTTCCTGAATTTAGCCAATGGGAACTCTGTTTTTGTAGTCAATCAAGTGTGGCTATACTTGTGTCACACTTGAGTTCATTCCTGTTTGTATCTCATATCCAATCAGTCAGAGAATTCTGTTCAACCACTGCTCTTTCTTTCCAAGGCTATCTCTATTGTCCAAGCCACTGTCATATCTTGCCAGGATTATTGCAATAGTCTTTTAATTGGTCTCCCTGCTTCTGCCTCTGCACATTTCCATCTACTCCCAACACAGCAGTTGCAGAGCTCCTGTCAAGCTAAAGTCAAATTATATATTTCCTGTGTTCAATACTTTCTAATGCCTTCCAGTTTTATTCAGAATAAAAGCCCAGGTATGTTCTCGACTTATAAGGCCCTACATGATGTGGCTACCTGTCATCCATCTGAACTCATCTTCTGCTATTCTCTCACTCACTTGTTTCCAGACTCATTTGTTTCTCTATTGTCCCATAAATGTATCAAGCTGGCTCCTGTTTCAGAGAGCTTGCTTTGGTCTTCCCTCTTCCTGGAATGTGTTTCAACTAGCTCTCCTCACAATTTGCTCTCTCACTTTAGATTTTTATTTAAAAGTGCCCTTTACTGGCCTGGCTACCCTAATGAAAATCTCAATCTCACCTGCCTTAGTGACTTCACTTTTCTCATCTGAAGTATAACACATGTATTTACTTTATTTATTGTCTTCCCCACTAGAATTTAAGTTCCACAAAGGCCAGGATTTTTGTCGGTTGTATGTGCTGCTATAAACCCCGAGAGTCAGACAGCACCTGATACAGTGTAGGCAAGAAACACTTGCAGGACATGTGGGAACTGCATAGCTGGGTACCCTATATGTCACCCAGCTCTCAAGTGCTGTGCCTCGGAAGAAAGAGGGGCATCCCATCCTCCTTATTAGTTCTAGATTTTTTTTTTTTTTGAGATGGAGTCTCGCTCTGTCCCCCAGGCTGGAGTGCAGTGGCACGATCTCGGCTCACTGCAAGCTCCACCTCCCAGGTTCATGCCATTCTCCTGCCTCAGCCTCCTGAGTAGCTGGGACTACAGGCGCCAGCCACCGTGCCAGGCTAAGTTTTTTTTTTTTTTTTTTAGTAGAGATGGGGTTTCACCGTGTTAGCCAGGATGGTCTTGATCTCCTGACCTTGTGATGCGCCCGCCTGAGCCTCCCAGACTGCTGGGATTACAGGCGTGAGCCACCGTGCCTGGCCTAGTTCTAGATCTTGATCTCAAAACGTTTATGCTCTATTTGAAATAAAATATTTGCATTTTAATTGAGAGACAGAAGTAAGTAATTAAATATATATATATATAGTTTTGGCATCAGATGGATCTACACTCAACCCCTGGCTTGGCTATTTATACATTTGTAAAATATTGATGATAATATGTACCTTCCATGATTCTTGTGAGGATGCAAACACTTGGCATATATCAAGTTTAATAAATGGTGGACTTCTCACTGCAGTGATAAAAGATAAGATGTAAGGCAAAGATTGACAGTTGGGACACCACCATTTTCTTATGACTAGCTAAAAGGGTCTACACCATGAAGTCAACCGTAAGGTAATACTTCATTTTTTTTTTTTTTGCCCCAGATAGTAACACTCTGCTATTGTTTAGTGATTTTAGTGATTTTATACTAATTTAAATGCTTTTTTGTCTCGTCACACATTCATTTTTTAAAGTGATTTAGAGCTGATTTCTATAGCAGGCTTTAATTGTCATTTTATAATTCAGGAAGCATGACCTTTGACTCTGGCAATTTTGTTTATGATGTCAAATAATGAACTACAGTAATAAGATTCTCTTGTGGTCAAATTATTCCATTCTCATTAAATTATATAAACATATATTTTCTGAAGAGCTATAATCAGGTGTACTATTCTTGCATTGATTTGATCAGCATATTGACATCTTTTACCTGAAAAGTCTCCTTTGGGAATATTTGATGAGTATTTATTGGAATTTTCTTCAATAGATGGTGAAAGTACAAGATTCAGCAAATTTCATTCCCCTATTTTAGGTTAACAAAGACAAAGGACGTGTGATTATTTGGGACTTTAATTTCTTTAATTAAAATATGATTGTTTGCATTATTTAAGTAACTTTGTTAGGTAATTAAATTAATAATAGTCATCAAGCATATATTAATCTTATTTTCGTTTGCAAGAAACCGTTAATGGCCCAGGGCAGGGATATTCCAACTCTGGGAAAACTATGAACTAGATGGAGAGCGCTTTGTGCTCCTAATGATGAGATTATCTTCTTCTACTATCACCTAGGGACAAGCATCTGGAAATTAGGTAAGCTACTCCTGGAAAACCCTCATCCCCTCTATTAAATTTATTTTTTCTCTTGTTAGTGTAGGTTTTTCTCCTTGTGTCCTAAGTCCCAAAGCCTCCTTGCTGGAGAAGGTGGTTCTAATGAAAGAAAGGAGGCACCCAATATTGGAAAGACTGGAAATTTGGTGTTTCACTTCTCGTCAGGGTATTTTTATTTAAAAGTAGGTCTCAGAACAGATTGATGGTCAAATAAGGTAATAAATCAGGAACAGTGCAAATTTAGCAGGTACCGGGCCAGCTTTGTATCTCAACTCACTCAAGGATTTCAAGCACCTATCTGAAAAACTAGTTACACATATTCTATCATCCTCCTCACTTTGTAGAACATCTGGTGGCTTAATTAGGCATGTCTGTTTAATATAGTCTCAAGCATATTTTTGTTATTCATTGGTCTCTTTATTATACATAAATTCCTCATATCTATGTACCTTCCCAAAGGATCAGCCATAGAATTTTGTAGAGAGTGAACACATGCTCAATACCTGCTCAATAAATGTTTGGAGAATTAAATTGAATAGGTATTGATTGCCCTCAACTGCCCTTACTCCCTAGGCTGCAGATTGAGACCAATTAGCTACAGTTCTTCAATGCAATTGTGTAATGGATATAACTAATATTGGAGGTATTCAGTTGATCACACAATTATTTACTCATTTACACATCCATTCATTTAACTAAATATTTGTTACGTTCCTACCACATATAAGTAAGGTGACGGAAATATATAGACACATTAGATTGATTATCTGGTCACAAGGCACATATGGTAGTAATGACTCCACATAAAGTAGTGACTGGTAAGTTTGGCCAAATATTAACTTTCAAGTCATTAGAAAATAGTCTATTGTCTAAATATGTAGAAACTTAGTATGTTATATCATTTGTCCCAAGGAAATAATGTCATTATCGTGTGAAATGGGAACTATAAAATTCCCCATAAAACAACTTCCTTTCCTCAAATTCGTCTATGTTAAAGTACTTGATTTTATTTGTTTATTCATTCAGCAGGAAAGCAAGTATCAAGCAACTTATTATGTTCTGGGTATTATTTTAAGTATTGAGTGTACAAAGATAGAGAAGAAAAAAGGGAAAAAAGATACTTAAAATGATTAAGTGTTTGGGAAGTACAGCTTACTCACATGCATGCAAATAACTATAAAATTCACAAAAATGAGAGTACTTTGCCTTCTTTTGATGTGGATATTCTGCTTTATTTCTCTTTCTTTAAGATAAATAGAAAAATAAAATATTAGCTAAGATTAAACTTTAGAGGTTTTCCTTCCTCCTATACATATGAAGGACATCGTATGCTATTTATGAACAAATTGTGGGATAATGATTTGAGAGTGACATCTATGATAGCATCAAGGGTAGAAGATAATTTTTATTCAACTTCCATTGTCTGTGTCCATTCAAACAGGAATCTCATTTATTGTGACTGAGTAGGAAAAGAAATTTAGTGAATTGAATATAATTATCACATAAATAGTTTGGCTGGATTTAGTTCATTTGAATGGTCAATGCAGCATAAATATTTCCACTATTCATATTTACAGGTTTGGAAACTGTTCACGTTCCTATGTTTCATTTGTTGACAGAAGTATATTAAACATGTCATTAGGTTAAAGGGGTATAACATGGAAAGTAATATTTCTTTAGACCTTATTTTTATTTTTCATGGTTTTTTTTCCATGCAAAAAAGACAGAAATTGTCATTTCACAATATTTAACTTTTGACTCTTTGGAGTCCTAATGATTTCAGCTCTGTTAAACCAACATATTATTTATATCGCAATTTCTTTTTCATGGCATTTACCAAATGAAGGAAATTACTCCTTTTATTAGCATATCTAATCATTTGTTTGCAATGACCTGATTTTTATCTCATCTATGTTGTTGCAACATAGCATATAATAACCACCAAGACTGAATTTTTTTCATTGCAGGGTTGAACCCTCCTAATTTGTCAAATCTGTTATTTGAACCAGTTGAATTGCTAGCTTTTATCTCAATTTTTTGACTGCTGCTTAAGAGGATTAGAGGCCTTGGTCAGCTACACCAGGGTGGCTCACAGTAACAGGCGCCATTGCAGCTCAGATCCAAAAATCAATGAAGTGCGGCTCATTGAGTCTGATTGACTAAGCCTCAATTGCCCTGTGGAAAAAACCTAGTGTCAGTCTTCTCTAGTTATGCAAACCAAGTCAGACAGAAACCAGCAGCTATGTTCTTCCTTTTAAATCCAAATATTAGGAAGGTAATAGAAAGGGTGAAAGGTAGCAACAACAACAAAACTATGAAGAAAAGACAAAGTGAAGAACTGGCCTTTGTGCCCAAAAACATACTGTGATTTATCACTTTATTAAGTCTCCAAGTTCTCTGATGAAATAGTTTTTTACTTTTAAAAATCGTCCAAAATTGCTAATTATCATCATCTCATTTTTTCTTCTAGATTTATTAAGTAAATTTACAATGCAAATTATCAAATGTAAGTTTTCTGTTTGAAATGTATATATATTTTTCTTTCCAGTGAAGTCATAAAAGAAGAACAAGTATATGACCTCTCTCATTTTTCATTCTATAGAAAATCCTATGAAATAGATGCATTTATTCTGATAGGACAACAAGTTTTTCCCTCTGCTTTATGTGACAACATGTTCTTCCCTCAGCTTTATACAACAACATGTTAACAAGGTCTTTCCTCTGCTTACATTGTAACTGAGTGAAGCAATTAAGGATCCTCACTCTCATATATTTTAGAGGGGGGAATAATTATCTTGTTCCAATTTGAAGGTGTTACTACAAGGAAAAAGTCGCCAATTCCATTTAAAAGTGAAGGCTTTCCCCCCACCGTGGAAGCTTATTATTTAAAAAAAAAAAAGGGTCTCAGTAACTGGATCTCGTGTTTAAATAGTTCTGTCAGAACTTTCACAACTCTAGGTTACCATAATCACTCAACAAGCTGATGAGCCCTTTACCAAAAGTTGATTCCTTTAATTGTGAACAATTAGACAACATTTTCTGGGAATAAAAGAGTCTCCGGAGAGCAACAGAATTTTATATCACAGAATCACAGTGTTCTAGAGCTGTGAGTTTTCAAACTATGTTTTGCAATTGTCTAATTACGAAGATCAGAACACAAAAACCCCCAAAATTAAGGGATTTGACTCAGGTCATAAACAATTGAAATTTTTAAAATAAAGAGTGAGAGACTTGATATGAAGGATTTTAACAGGATTTAAAGGGGTAGGAAATTTAAATCACAAGACATTTTCATGTGATTTGAAATTTTATTAGGATCATCTTGTCAACAATTCTAATTTAGAGGCTGTAATTCATTTTAAACAACTTAAAATTCAATTTAAAACAATTCTATTTAAAATCTAAGCATATTTTTGGGGAGGAACGAAACACCCCAGATAAAGTTGAAAGCAAATGGCAACCAAGGCAGAAAAATGGATTTAATAAATAGTACATTATTTCTAGTGATAGTAGTTTGTTTTATCTATCTCTCTAGAACCTACCCTTTAATGTATGGGACCTTGTCATGTGGTGTGTAAATAGGAGCCCACAACATGTTCTATTACCAAAAAAGCAAGGCTAAAACTGAAGCTGTTTTGAAAGAGATGGTCATTATGTTAAAACAGGAGAAAACATTATCCTGAATAAGTTTTTATAGTAATGAAATTTTCTGAAACTTCAATTATTTGCTTTTTGTCGCTATGAAATCATTTTGCAGTATAATAACTTAGTAATGAGTGAAATTTGGAATAAGTCAACATTCTCATTAAAACAAAGTCATCTGATATTACTGAGAACCATAAAACAGCTATTGAAACCTGAAGCTTCAGAGAAGGAAATCTTTATTGCAATAAAGAAATCAGCAACATTGTTTATAAGCATCATTTCCATGGCAAAAGATTAGTTCATTCAATAAGAATCTTGTAACATGGTGCCAGCACGGGTGCAATAAACTTTATGGAATGGCTCATAAAATTAGACTAATTAAAGATAATCTAATTTGGACAATTTTATCTTCTGGAAAAGAAATGTGATGTCATCCTCCGGGAAGAAACAATGTTTAGTCTCTGGGGATGTGAAAAAAAAAAAAAAAAACCCTCACAAGATATTTGCAATAATAAGAATTAGGGTTGATCCAAAGACAGTCTTAGATCTACCCATTGCCTCTCAAAAGATCCACCACATAGACTGTTAAGCCCCATAATTATCTCCCCTATTTGTGACAAGCGTGAGCTAATCAGTCTCTGAGGGAGTTTTCCAGCAGATACTGAGGAGAGTGTGTGAGCTTCACAGTGCTCATCAAGCTATTTTGTACTCAGAATGGCAAAGAGCTGACCAAAGTTCATTATCCTCATCTAAATCAGAATTAATTCAAATTAAGAAAAATAGACTTTTTAAAACGCCAAGTGCTTATGATTTAGAACAAAGAGTCTTCACTATTTTTATAACAGCAACATAGGTTCTAGCTGCCTATAATCCCATATTAAAAGATTAGAAAAAACATCTGAAGAAATCAGAGAGTGTCTAATTGAGGTTCTTGCCTTTAATCCTGCGAGCAGACTCCCTCTTGGATATCAAGATCTGTCAGGGCCGAGTCAGGGGAATTCTGTAAGGAAAAAGCAACCACGAGGAATATAACATATTCTTTCCTACTTAAGAAATAAAAAGAGAAAAACACAGTTGGTGATATCAAAACATAAGCCAACACAAAATTAGGGGAAACCCCAAAATGGATTTGTAAATATAAGCTAGCAAAAGTGGAGAAATAAGCCAAACCTTGCTTGTTTATAATGTTTAAACCATTGTGCAATACAGGGTACACAAATAGACAAAAAAAAAAAATATGAAAGAGCAAGTAATAAGGAGTAACAATAAAGATAGAATCCAGACTAGCAAGGAATTAGTAAACTATTTAATAAATGTATTTTACCTGTGTATTGATTCCTAAAATATTAATTATGTGATTGTCTTTTTAATTCCATACACTCATCTTGCCAGAGAATTATATGTTAGTGAGTACTTTTGTATCAACCATGGAACGTTACAGTGAAACAAAGTTTTTCTGTATTGCTATTTTATAATTGTGTATAATACAGTTTAGAAGCTTCACTGGTTGAAAATTAGTATTTCATGCTTATTTACTAAAGAACTGAAATATTAGGCTATAGTTCATAAACAGTAAGTTAAATTAGTGTGATAAAGAATGAAAGAGTTTAAGAAACACAAAATCTTTTATACCATAATTTTAAAAAAAAGTAATCAAGAAAAAAAGAGGAAAAAGTGGCACACTAAAATCAAGATATACTTTACAGTAATATCATGTTTTAATCACAAAGCAGGATATTTGCTGCCCTAATTGCTTAGAAATTGATACAAAATGTAAATTAGGCAAAGCTATCTAATAAAAATTATAGAGATGCATATGTGCATAGTAAACATATTTTTCTTCAGCTTACTATGCATTAATACTTTAAAAGGGTTAATTTGGTGCATAATAGGAAAGTTTTCTTATATTTTCATCATAAACTCACATATAGAATAATTATTCAAAATATTTTAATAGGAAATTTAATATTTTATTAACAATCTTTTAGTAAAAGATGCCTCTTTTGCAGTAAACTGGATTTTGAGGGACTGCCAAAGTCATCAAGAATCATTCCATAATACAGAAACACTTGGAACTGAGCATAGATATGGAAAAAAATAAATCAATCTAACAAATTTTTCTTTTTAATTGCAAATGAAAATTTATGGAACAATATCTTTTGATCTGTACATGCTATCTCACGAAAGATTCCACACCTCTTCAGAAAACACCACACCATGATGTACATGCATTTAAGCAGTATTTGCTCAGATTTGTGTGAATGGTTCAAATAATAACCTTCAAAGCATAAAATTTTTGGAAAAAAAGTAATTTTGATAAGTATTTTAATGAACCAATTAACTAATTAAATGAACCACTCTTATAAAGCTATCGATTATTTAAGTCTCAATTTTGTTCTAATTTTTTAAAATGTGATCATTATATTAAGTACTGAAGATTATAAAATTAGTACTAATGACAGTATATGTACTATATGACTAATATATAGTCATGTGAATGGAAGAATTAAGAAACTCACAGATAGTGACAAAATTCAATATGAGCAGTTTATATTAAAAAGGGCAGAGAGCGAAATAAGTGGGGGTTATAGAACCCAAACCTAAATTCCCTAGTTTCTCCATGAAATCCTAAGTTGTCATCCTATGACTTTATGGAACTGGCCACTTCATGAGCGAGCCAGTATATCTGAACCCTTTAATAACCAAATAGCAGGTGAGAGGTGAAACTCACCCAGTTATTTGATTTATAGTTAAAATAACACGCTCTTTTACGAATGTAATTTTAGCCCGACTTCTTAGATTTGATCTAACAAAGGAAAATTTATGAGTCATTTACATTTTTACAAGATACCAAATTATTTCCTATGCTATTGCATTGAAAGACGGGAGCTTAATATTTAACTTTAGTATATTGTAATTTAATCATTAAACACTATGATGATTACTGTAAGTTAAGTTCTGTACTGTGAATCATGAAGAAAAATACGGACAATCAGAAATTACTTAAAATTCATAAGCAATGTTAAAAAACAAAAGAGGCATATATTATCTTAGGACAACCTAGGCATTGCTCTGGTGATGACAGCATAGGAAATATCTGAGGCTTGCTTGAGGTCTGTCTCATTAGGAGTGGAATTGCCATAGTGTGTTCTAGAAGTCCAAACCTCCACCTGACTAGCATAGAGGAAGGAAGGTCTACTTATGCATACCTAACCTTCTCTGCAAAATACAGTCACACAAGAAAGTTTTAAAAATCCTGATGCCTAAGCAGAACGCCAAACAATAAATAAATAAATTAATAAATAATAAATTAATTGATTTTTTAAAAATCCAGGCATCAATGATCATTTTAAAGTTCTCCAGGTGATTCCAATGTGCACCCAAGTTTGCAAGCTATTGATCTATACCAATCCGCCCCTCTTCCTGGCTACCTAGAAAAGTCCTAAGTGGTTTCTTGGAATTGAGCTTTCTAATGAACTAGAAGCAGTTAGGGTAATTCAGTGGTTCTCAAATTTTTTGCTTTCCAATCCTTTTTCATGCTTAAAGATTATCGAGGACCTTGAAGAACTTTTGTTATTGTGGGTTATTTCTACTGACATTTACTCTAGTAGAAATTAAAACTAAGAAATTTAAAAATATTAACTAATTATTTGACAATAAAAACAATGAAACCACTACATATTAATGGTTTTATAAAAATAACTATTTTATAAAACAAAAGTATCAGTGAGAGAAGTGGTAAGGTTTTAAAGTTTTACAAATCTCCTTAATGTCTGGTTCAGTAGAAGGCAGCTTGGTTTTCATATCCACTTTGCACTCAATCCGTTGCAATAACACATGTCTGGAAAGATTCGCTATGCACTTATAAGAGAAAGAAAATGAAAATAACAACTTAGTATTATTATACAAATAGTTTTGACTTCACACACCCCTCTCGATGAGCTTGATATCTTGAGAACTGCTAGTATGATCACAATAACCTTCACAGTGCAGACAAATTCACATGTAACAAACCTGTTGTCCCCAAAAGGAACCACTTAGGATATATAAAAGAGACACTGTTGTTACCATTTGCTTGGCGACGCATCAGGTTATGGCTGTACAGATGCTATTTCAAATACCGAGTTAATTTAGAAAGAAAATTCCACATTTCAAACTTTATTAAACCAATAAGCACTTGAAAAATATGATTCCTATAGTGAATGATTTCTGCCTGGCTAAAAGATCCAATCCTTGCATCCCCAAATTATCCAATCTAGTTGATGAAACACGGCATACATAAATAAAAATTTACAAAGGAACATTTTATGAGGTTAAAATTGACACACAAATATCCGAGTAAGTTTTAAAAAACAACAAAAATCCTAGATTATTCAAATATGTTTAAATGTTCTTGTTTTACTCTCTTTTTCATTTAAGTGGTTATCATCATAGGTAGATAATTTTCCTTTATAAAATGATAGGACAGAAGGAAATGACACCTTTGTGCTAGGTAGCTATTTTGACTTGCCACTAAGGCTACAGACAAATTCTTCTATAAATAGTTCATATTTGTTCCTAAGTACTTTCTATTGTTGTCTTTGCTATGGTTTGAATGTGTTTCCCCAAAGTTCACGTGTTGGAAACTTGATCCCTGATGCAGTGGTGTTGGAAGGTGGAGCCTGATGGAAGGTGTTTGGATCGTGGGGCTCTTCCCTCATAAATGCATTAATGCTGTTATTGCTGGAGTGAGTTTCTTATAAAAAGGATGAGTTCAGCCCCTTCTTACTCCCTCTCACCCCCTCTTTGCCCTTCTGCCACATTAGGGCATAGCAAGAAGGCCTTTGCCAGGTGCTATCCCCTCAATCTTGGACTTCCCAGCCTCCCGAACTGTGAGCCAATAAATTTCTATTCATTATAAATTATCCAGTCTGTAGCATTTTGTTATTGCAATATAAAACAGAATAAGATATTGTTGTTGCTGCTGTTGTAATTGTTATTTTTCTCACTTTTGGTTAAAGGCAGATGACCTTCAAAATAAAATAACATTCAATTGGATTTATTTCCTCTGATCTAAAAAAAGGGTGTTTTCTTGTTAGCTTATATTTTCTTTGTCCTTTGTTAGCTCATCTGTACATTGCATATGCTATATTATGTATGCAACAGGAATGCATATACATTCAATGTTATTCTTTCCATTTTGTACCACCATTCACACTTATTATGGTCACTTTTAATTCTAATTCTATTCTCCAAGATATCAGCTATTTCTTCCACTTGATGTCATCAGCAGACTTAATAAGCATACTTGATATTCTATCATCCTGGTCATTGGAAAAATGTTAAATAGCACTGAACTGGGAACTGACCCCTGCAGAACACTTCTTGTTACATTTTCCCTTTAATTCATTCCCAAATTGATACTTATTATCTGTATCTTTAGATGTGTACCAGGTAAGATTGGCCAGTATTCCTTTGGTACATAACATATTTCTAATAATTAAGAAATACTCTAATTGGAAATCTATATACAACTCTTATAGAATTGAGTGTTACTCATAAAGGAAAGAGTTATGTATATGCATAAATAGGCTAAAATTGGCCCTTAATAAGTGTAATATGAAGTCATGAAGCAAAGAAAAACCCATACTGTATTGAAATGTCCATTACTTGCTTCAACCTTGACTAAAATACCCATATGACCCATGGGAAATTAGAAAGAAAAATAGCATTTTATAAATCGTTAAACTAAAGTTTTCACTGTAAGTATCCTATTGGTAAATTATGTCTAAATAACTATCTTTACTTCTCTTTCTAATTGGAACATCCTATCTAGTGAAGCCTGGCATCTTTCTCTCCCTCCAACCTACCTCTAACATTACCTCATTCAAATGGACATGGTAAACGCACACACACACACACGCACACACATCTTTTTATTAGCAAATAATAGTGGAGTATTGCTGATTGTGTTAATTTTTATGCTTATATTCCCTAATATATGTATGTATATATATGTGCACATACATATTTAAATTATTTCCTTGATTAATCAAACATTACTAGGATTCCATAATATGAACGTATTAATCCTACTTCACAAATAGAACAAAGTAAGAGGATAATAAAGCAAAACAGAAGTTTTTCAAAACTTCACAAATTTAAGATAATTTGATATTGTTAGTGAATAAGACAAGCACCTAATAAAGATGTATTAAATGTCCAATATGTACTTAATACAAAACTATATGATTCTAATATTATAAAATAACTAACTTCAAATAACTCTTCAAGAGCTAATAGCTTATTTATTAAAATAATATTAAAATGGATAATACTGGCCGGGCACGGTGGCTCAAGCCTGTAATCCCAGCACTTTGGGAGGCTGAGGCAGGCAGATCACAAGGTCAGGAGATCGAGGTCATCCTGGCTAACAAGGTGAAACCCCGTCTCTACTAAAAATACAAAAAAGTAGCCAGGCGTAGTGGTGGGCGCCTGTAGTCCCAGCTACTTGGGAGGCTGAGGGAGGAGAATGACGTGAACTTGGGAGGAGGAGCTTGCAGTGAGCCGAGATCGCGCCATTGCACTCCAGCCTGGGCGACAGAGCGAGACTCTGTCTCAAAAAAAAAAGAAAAAAAAAAAGATAATACTGACAAAACAACACAAGGCATTGTTACTGCTGAAATGTACCGTGCAGAATAGATCTCACAGGATTTTAGAGATGATTAGACGATATTAGCTTGATGGTAAAAAGTCTTTGTGAAAGAAACAGCTTCTGAATGAGAACAGTCTAGGTGGTGGAAAAGAATGTCTAAAAGAAAGGAGAGAGTAATGTGAGTGACATACACATACATAAACCATGAATACATAAAATAACGTATCCTAACACATATGCTACAGGTGCATGCCTTTTATAAATGTTGGTGAACCTGCGTTATATTCCAGAATTCTGTAAGTGGTAGCTTTTACAGATGAGTTCTGGGAACATAAACCAGACCTAAGAGAGTATATCGATTTTTATTCTAGGTAACAAACTAATCCCCAAATTTAGCAGATTAAAATGACAGTTATTATCTCACAGTTTTAGTGTTATCCAAAGAGACTTAGCTGTGTGATTTTGACTCCAGGTTCTCAGAAAGCTGCAGTCCAGTTATTGGCTGGGGCTGTAGTCATTCAAGACTCAACTGAACAAGGATCTGCTCTTGGCAAGTCTTAAAAGATTCTCTTTCAAGTACATTCAAATGGGTCTTTACACAAGACTACTTAGGGGAAAGCAGCTGGCTTCTAGAGCAAGAGAATCAAGACAGAGTGTGGGCAATCAAGACAGTGAGAGCACTCAGGACAGAGCCAGGTCTTTTTACAACTTGATCTAAGAAGTAACATCACATAGCTTCTTCCACATCTGATCTTGGAACTGAGTCATTAAGTCTATACCACACCCAAGGAAAAGGGATTATACAAAATGCAGAAGGCAGGGACCAGTGAAGACCATCTCAGAGGCTGCCTACCTCAGAAGACAAGATGGATATTGGGTGGAGGAAAGAAAAAGAAATCTCTCTTTCTCTGGGCCTCATTCCATTGGGGCTAAAAGTCAGACCATCTCGAGGTCATTGAGAATTCTTCCTTATGTTCAAATATGAACTACAGAACAGTCAGGAAGTTGGGAATTAGAAAAGAATAAAATTTAGGATATGATGGCTTCCAAAATGTAATTTATCTCTCTTTCTTCATGCTATTTTATTTCTTCTTCTTGTTATTGTTTAGTCCAAAGATATAAAATAGTTGCTGCTTCCTTCTTCATTTTCTAATGAGACAATGGAAGGTACTGCTTATCAATCATGGTACTCTTGCATGGAGCCCACATGTGACCTCAAAATCTTCTCTGATATAGTAACCCAGATGTTTACAACAGACTGACCAAGGATGAGAGGTAATTTTCCCTACCAGTTACAGTCTTTAGAAGAAAACTGCTTCAGCTTTCATATGTATGAAAAGTGTTCTCTGTAGAGAGTGGAGAAAAGGTGACCTTTTTAATAAATGATGTTGGGTCAATTGGATATTTATATAGAAGAAAATACAACTGGGCTTCTATCTCACACCATATATAAAAGTGAATTCTAGGCAAATAATAGATCTAGATATAAAAGGGATACCTACAAAGGAAAATATTTATAAATATTTACTTACTATGAAAAGTCAGGCTACATCGGTAAATTTATAAATTTAAATTTAAAAATTATTAAATTTATAAACTTCCACTTATCATGAAAAGGCAAGCTGCATGGGTAAAAATATATGCAACACATATAACTGATGAAGAGTTTATATCTGCAATATATAAAAGACACCTACAAATCAATAAGAAAGAGAGACCCCACCTCCCAGTGAAAATAAGGGCAAGAAGTCTGAACAGGAGCCTCACAAAAGAAGATATCTCAGAGGACAGTAAACCTACCAAAAATATTTCTATAGCTATACATCCACTGGAATAGCTAAGATGACTGACAATTTCTAGTGTTAGTAAAGATGTGGATAATGTCAATTTTCCATATAATATGAATGTTGGTACAACCACTTTAGAAAAATTATCTATCTATGTGTATATATATATGTGTGTGTGTGTGTGTGTGTGTGTATATATATATATATAAATTAAGTAGCCACACATCCTCTTACCCAGGAATTTCATTCCAAGACATGTAACTATAGATGAGATTAATAATATATTTATAAAATACTATTCAACAATAAAAGTGGAAGGGAAAAATCTGAGGGTACATGCAACAATTTGGCTTAATTTCACAATCATAAATCATAAAGGCAAAGAAGCCAAATATAAATGAATGTACTACTATATCTATCTATCTATCTATCTATCTATCTATCTATCTATCTATCTATCTATCTATCTGTCTATCTATGTATCTATATCTACCTACCTGCTGCATGATTCTATTTATATAAAGCAACATATGCAAAAGTAATCTATGGTGTTAGAGGTCAGTATTATAATTAATTTTGAAGAAGAAGGACAAAATAGATGTTGTTACAAGGAGTATGAGCCCCCAAAAAATTTTAGCGTGCTGGTAATCTGTTTCTTGACCTGGATGGTAGTCACCTTGATGTTTTCATTTTGTGATAATTTATTGGCTGATTTGTGGCTTTCTTTGTTTATAAGTTACACTCCACTAAAATGGGTTTTTAAAAGACTCAGCTTTATTTTAGTTGAATCAGAGGATAATAAGGAAATGATTCTCTAGTTTCTTCTACAAAAAAGACACATGCACAGTTAGTTTGGAAACTAACTCTACACTTCATCAATCATGAAGTCAGTGTAACCATGGGGTGCAGAGTTATAAGGAAGCTAAGAGAGTAAAGTATAGAAGTTTAGTGAATACAAATTCCTTGAAACAAATACATAGGATGTATTCAGAGGCACAGCCATCTTCTGGCAGCTTATTTGATTCAGGGGAGGAATATTCTTGTAACGTTTCCTAATTGGAATTTTGACAAAACTTTCAAGTTGGTTAGATTCAAGTCGTATTTTACATACATTTAACTTTGTTCTGCCTGATGTCTTGATGGGCAAGTTCAGCCACCTTACAAAGTTTGAGAACAGATAAGAATAACAATTTAGATGGGGTTAAGGTAATATTTCTTATTATTTATTATCAAATCAGCAGCAAGCAGTGCGAAAGGCATATTTGTGATCAAGAATCCATGTCGGCATGAGAGGGCTCAGCTATTCAGGGTCTCCTTTGTTCCTTGTGGATATGGTTGGAAGTTAGTGGTCACAGCAGCCACACAGCAGAAATCACCAGGTCAGAGAAGCCCAGGATTAGGTATGGGTTCACTGTGTTTCTATATCATCTCAATCTGGGAACGGAAAGGAGAAGGAAATGTCAGCACTCAGGGGTCTACTCCGTTGCCATAAACAAAATATCTTGCTACAACAATGGTTATAAAATGTAGTTCCCTGGGGATTTATGCCTTACTATGCCATTAAGCCTGCTCAAAATTCAGTGCAGTAGCCCTGGATATCACCTACCAAAATGGTTTGATTTCATTTCTTCATTCACTTGTTCCTTTATTCTTGAAATATATTTGTAAATCCCAGGTATATATCAAGTACTACAGTAACCCCAGCAATTTGAAGTTGAGTAATTCTTAATCCCTACTCTCCAAAAATTCTTAAAACATATGGTGGTATTTCAAAATATTTACCAAAAGGTTCCTGAACTTAGAGTGAGTATTCATCTTTTAGCTAATTTCACATTGTAAAGTTATAGGCAAAGTAACTTGAAAAATGTAGATCTTATAAACATTTTAAACTGCTCTCAGCAAAGATCTGAGGAATTTTTGGAAATGACATAATTTCCATTAAATAAGTAATGTTCTAACTTCCTCCTTTGATTCAAAGACCAATGTCCCAGTAACTTTAACAGCATCCGAATTTGAGATAGTTACCCTTTTAATCCCTGAAGGACCTAACACATGAAAAATCTCTTAGAGTTACTCTTTCCATCTCAATTAATTTGAAGTCTAGTAAGTGAGCTTAATTATATGCATGAAGAAAGCAGCACTTAAACCCTAAGATTACGAATCTGAAAACAGAAAGGGTACTAAGAGATAATCCTTCCTTATGACCCTAGAGACATTTGACCCCAAATGAACAGCTGGGCTCAAACAACAAAGTCGCACAGCCTTTACATTTATATCCATGCTAAAACAGCACACATCTCTATAAAATCAACTTTAAATTTCAGTTTTCATTGTAATTATCAAGTTTTTCCCCCAATGACTTTAATGATTTTTTTCATAGATAAATGTACATTTTCAAATCTCTTGAAACAAGGTCCCCAGGTGTCAGTTGCAGTCAGAACTAATAATGGTATGGGCATCTTCTTTGTTGCTTCATTTGAACAATGAGTTGGCCTTTTTTTGTGAGAATTAGGCTTTTGGATCCTGAGATCTATATATAGAAATAGATATTTTCTGATCCAGTTTGGCTTCTGGCTAGTCCCAAATTTTAGTTAACCAACATTTGTTGAATGCTTACTATGAGCCAGGCTGTGCTAGATATTGGTAATTTAAAAGAGAATAAGTTTCTAACTTCCTAGAGAACCAGTCAGAAAATTAATGTTTGAGTGAGAAATTAAGGAACCAGAGCTGAGGCTGTTAATACAAAGAGACAATTTTGAGAGGTAATGAGGGAGAGGAGTTTCAAGAGCTATATTTGAAGGTAAAGTGACAGAATTTGGGAAACTTATATATTCAAAAAACTAAACATGATAAATGTATACAATTTTATTTGCCAATTAAAAGAAGTACACTAAAATATGGGAAAAATAAGAGAATAGAATTAAAACTGATATCTTGGGAAAATTCCGAAAGCCATGTTCCTTAATAAAGAGATTTCTGTAGTTCTCCCAAATTAACCTTAAGAGCACACACATTTTTGGCTTAAAAAATATTTTTGTAGTGAGAAAGGAAATAGCACTTTTTTATTATTTAGGGAGTAGTAGTGATAAAAGTCTTTTAAAGGAAAAGAGAATTCATGTGATGATAAAAAGGTAGATAAAACTGTATCTAGACATTTTAAGCTGGTGGGCTGTGGGCTATGTTTCAGTGTATTGAGTGGAAGTATGCATTCCTCTCAGTGGCCACCATATTCCTATGTCCTTCTCATTCATCTCACTCACATACTTACCTGCCTGGCCACTGAGTCATTTAAATTTCACTTCCCTCCACATGATTCCAAATTCTACCATTAACTCCCTACACCTTCTCAGGCAAGCAACAAGTTATTGTCTTTCAATTTCTCCATGTGAAACTGGAGGGGTGAGTGACCCTTCTAGTGCCCTCCATTTCTAGCATAGGGGTTGATGGACTGTGCATGGTAGCAGTTTTTAACTTCAACACTTCATGAAAATCAGATTTCGAAATCTGCTTAAGGACATAGGTATAATTTTATTATTGAAGTCACAATGCCTTTGAACTTGAAATCTAAAGACCAGGTTTATTTTATCTTCATTGATTGTTTAACTTTGTTATAGTTTGCCATTTAACCATGCCATAACACAGTGTCTTAATTTACAAAACAGAAAAAAAGTTCCATGTCTATTGAAATTTTGAGAGAAATAAGAGAATCTTAAAAAATTATTTCCACCACACAGACCTGATTATGTGTTGATTATTCGAGAGAAGATAACTAAATGAGATAAAAAGAAAAAACAGTTGTTCTAACCAGCACATTTAGTTTTGTGTTCTCCTCAATGCCCATCAAGACCCTTGGAATTCTTTTTGCTTTGCTCTTGCTCTAAATCTCGTGCCAGCTATGACAACTGAGCCAGTGTGATAAAAATGTTTGCCATCTGTCTTGCCACTTTGAGAAAGTTACCAATTTGTACTACAAAACAGAACAGCATTTAAAAGGTAGGCTCTGCTGTGTACAGGACAAATTTAATAGGAGAATATATTCTTTGGCTGATTTGAAATATGATAATCTTCTAATGTCTCCTGTACCAATGAAGAATATGATTTATCCAGGTGGAAGCTAACATCATTTTACAAAATGGCAGGGATGAGTCATTTGCTATGTTACTGTGAAATACCTTAGCAATGTTAGTGTGAATTACTGCTCAGTTAACATTGTTTACCTCCTAATTATTAAGAAGTACCTCGATCCATCACTGACAACTCAGTAAATGACTCAAGACACTATGATATTTGCAAATAGGACAACAAGGTCATCGCAAGTTTAATTAGACACTATGCATTATGAAACAGCAAATGGCCTACGATGAGAAGTAAAATTTCAATTTCTGAATATGCCTTATAAAATGATGGAAAATTGCTCACACATCAGTAATTATAATAACAAATATATGTAATATCATTTAAGAAACTTTTAAAAATTATCATCTGTGATGAGGGATGAGAGGAATTAATTACTCATATGATTACTGAGAGGAACTAATTGCTCACAGATTACACATAAGTCAATGTAAGTTGGTTCTAGATTTTGAAATGAATAGTCATCTTCTAGCATTTGGTACAGAGATATCTTTAATATATGACATGTAAAAATGAGTTTGTAATTCTTTTTGGAATTTGTTTGTGGGCAGATAAAGCAAACCATGGGATCATTCTTTGTTATGTTTGGTTTGACCTGTATTTGCAAATATTCTGGAGATTATCCAACGTTTAGACAAAAGTACAATTTCCCAAGTCTAGGAATTGTTCCAGTGTGGATAGTCTATTCCTATATATTTTATGGAAAGGATGTTAATGTCATTTGCATCCCACCTGATATATTGGGGTGGTAGTCTCTGAAAATAGAGACGAGTAGTGGTTTGCATGAAAGATGAGGTGTAAGAACTCTGCCAAGGTCAAGACCCTGTGATTAGCTTGCATCAATCAAAATCATCATTTTCAGAGGCCATATGTTTAGGACCTTATATAATAGCTTTCCAAATGGATGAGTTATTTCTCACTATTTTCCTTTTCCATTCTTGGAAATGTCAATGATTTTCTTCTCATTCTGTGAATCTTGGCAAATGGGATGAGTATTGTTTTATATAAAGCATATTCATATTTAATATTTTGTTTTATTTCAGATGTTATTTAAAATACTTTATTACTTGATTATTTTTATCTTATAAACATGACCTAGGTAATCAGTTATAAAATCTTAAAATTCTAAACAATGAACATTAAAATTACTATCTAAAAATGTGTCACATATACTTCTCAAAGAAGACATACAAGTAGCCAATAAACATATAAAAAAAAGCTCAACATCACTAATCAGCAGAGAAATGCAAATCAAAACCGCAATGAGATACCATTACACACGAGTCAGAATGTCTATCATTAAAAGAACAAAAGATAACAAATGCTGTCAAGGCTGCCAAGAAAGGGGAATGTTTATACATCGTTGGTGGGAATGTAAATTAGTTCAGCCACTGTGGCAAGCTATTTGGAGATTTCTCAAAGAACTAAAAACGGAATTACTATTTGACCCAGCAATCCCATTACTGGGAATATACTCATAGAAAACTTAATCATTCTACAAAAAAGACACATGCACTTGTATGTTCATTACCACACTATTTACAATAGAAAAGACATGGAATCAACCTAGGTGCCCACCAATAATGAATTGAATCAAGAAAATATTGTACATGTACCCCATAGAATACTATGCAGCCATAAAAAGGAATGAAATCATGTCCTTTGCAGCAACATGTACAGAGCTGGAGGGCATTATCCTGAGTAAATTAATGCAGGATCAGAAAACCAAATATCACATGTTCTCACACATAATTGGGAGCTAAACATTGGGTATATATGGACATAAATAATGGAACAATAGACACTGTGGACTACTAGAGGGGTTGGAAAGGGAGAAGAGAAGGGCTGAAATCCTACCTGTTGGGTACAATCCAGGTGACAGGATCATTCATATCCCAAACCTCAGCATCACACAATATACTTATGTAACAAACCTGCACACGTACCTCCTGAATTTAAAATAAAAGTTGACATTGTAAAACAAAAAGATAAATATATAACTTGAAATCTAAACATATAAAATAAAAATAAAAACATATCACTTGAGACATAAAGCATAACAATAATAAAATTCCTGATCAACTGAGAAATATAGTTGAGAAATAGAGTTGTACAGTAAAATATGTATTTCAAATAAATCATAGAAAACATATTATTGATTTCTTCACTAAGTCATTACCAGTACAGGAGAACATATTGAAAAAAATCAGATGTAGCTTTTGTCTTATCCTTGAGACTGGGACAAAAGTAGGGGCACTATAACATAGGTTTAAGAAGAAAGCAGTTGTTCACTCTCATAACGCACATTTATCAAATGTTATTAAACTACAATTTTTTCTTTTCTTATACAGAAGCACTTAGCCATTTCCACTAAGCTGTCTCTTTTAACACTAAACAGGGCAAAGCGGTGTGTGTATAAATGATTCTGATAATGGTAACTTGCATGGTTCTGCCCTTTTGTGGGGGCCTCTGAGAGTCTGAGTTGGTCTTCTATCATATTCCTCACTGTTCTTCCAGAGTACTTCTAAATGTAGTAATTTATCTGTATTTTTTCTGTGCCAAAGATAAGTGAAAAATTATTGGCGAATATTATTTACTTAAAAACATTATTATATTTCATATGTTTAAACGTTTCACATTTTTGTACTGACATAATATTTGTATTTATTTATTTATTTATTTATTGAGACAGAGTCTTGCTCTGTTGCCAGGCTGGAGTGCAGTGGCGCGATCTCAGCTCACTGTAACCTTCGCCTCCCATATTCAAGCGATTCTCCTGCCTCAGCCTCCCAAGTAGCTAGGACTACAGGCACCCACCACCACGCCTGGCTAAGTTTTGTATTTTTAGTAGAGACGGGGTTTCACCATGTTGGCCAGAATGGTCTCCATCTCTTGACTTCGTGATCCGCCCCCCTCGGCCTCCCAAAGTGTTGGGATTACAGGCATTAACCACCGCGCCCAACCAATAATCATTTTCAATATCAATCATTTTCTACTTACAGCATAAAAATAAACATTGAATAATTAATATACACCAGGCTAAATATTTTCACAACTTTTACAAGTGGTACCTGAAGTGAAAATAGAGGAGCAGGCATATGATAGGAGGTAAACTCAGTTTATTTCATGTCTGGGCACAGAGAATTTTCTACTTTACTGATTTTCAGACTTCGCCTTGCATTAGAATCACTTTGGGCACATGTAAAATGCAAATATCTGTTCCTTTTCCCTAAGTGTCCAATTTCCTACATCTGGAGTAGGGTCCAGAAACAGGATCTATAAAGTACTTTAGACCAAAATTACAGAATCTTGTATATAGGTAAATCAAAGTAAAACTGTCTACAGATACCAATGTACAAAGTTCAATTTTTATTACAGTCTGCTTGGAAGAGTAAAGCATCACAATTTCTTTGCAATTTTATAATTTTCAAGATGAATTATGAATTATCATAATGCCGTTTATCCTGTCTATTACCCTAATCAAGTTGTGTTATGAAAGTTAGAGTTTTCTGATCTCAACATATGTTAGAAGATCACCACTATTATATATTTTAAAACCTTGCAAAATATGTAAGACTAGATGGAATCCAGGAGATTTTTAATAAACTTATAATTCGAGTATAGATATTTGTATGCAATATGTTTTCCCCCATAACATAGCTTTGGTTCTAATAAAAAGCCTTGTACATCAATGTAACACTCCTTTGTGGCACCAGAATACTTTACAGGTTCTCATTTCTTGCTTTATTTCAGACTATAAATTTATGCTCTTAAATTTTCCTGGGGTGAGAGAACTGATGTCACATAGCCATGCAAATACAGACTTTGCTCTTTCTTTTCAGTTCACGTCAAGAAGAGAAATGAAGCAGTATTTTAAAAGAGAAAAATATTATTTTGCTTCATGCTTCTTTTCTACCAATTAAAACATTATTCTCTTACAGGTGCACCACTGTAAACTCCTGTCACAAGAAAAGTGGATGTCATAATGTCTCTACTAAAAGTCATTATACCCCCATTGATATCGTTGTCCTTTGGTTGATATGCAAAAATTCTTAGAATTTTGAATAATTCTATCCTTAGAATAGAACAGTTATTTTACACATATTTTTGCACAAATCTGGATTGATTTATTTAACCTGGCCATGTCATGACCAGCTACTTGTCCAATTCAATTAATTAATTAAATTGCAATAGTAATATGTATCTTTTTTCTAGGCTATATTGCTAACACAATTGTTAGTGGCTCCATCATTCTCCACTGCTCCATTATCCTGTCCTCCAGAACATTTCTATTTATTCTTTTATTCATTCATTCATTCGATAATTATGTATTGACATTCTACTGGCACCAGGCACCATTGTATAATCTGGGCACTATCCAAGGTACTGTGTTTCCCTTGATATGTCTCTCAAACCCACTTCTAACTTTATGTGCCTAGTGGTCCCTTACAAATTTCAGGTTTTTATTTGATCTTTATCACAATAATGTTCAAAAGTCTTGCTTGTTTTATCTCATCCATCATCTCAACTCCTTTTCATTCTTTTAACCTTTCCTATACCCTACAACCTTCACCATAGAATAGTGTTTATGATAATATGGTTTAGACTCAGTGCTTCAGTCAAATTTCAGATTTGCTACTAATTCACTGAGTGATTTTGGGCAAATGAAATAATGTAAAAAAAAAAAAAAGGATTCGGCACAGAGCCATGAACAATTAAGCACATGATGAATATATATTTTATATATTTCTATATCTCTTTTATATGATAGCTGTAATTTCAAATTTTCTTTCTAAAGCCCTCATGCAAGCCTTTCATCACATAATTTACATAACAAAACATTTTTCAAAAGGCTCATAGTGCTTACCCAAAAGTTTAAGTCTATTCACATTTGGTATGCTATCTCAATTTAAAGCCTCTCCCATTTCTCCTCTATCTGAAAAACTTCAATTCAACCCAAAGGTTTTACTTGCCATTTCCCAGAATCCAAGTACTTCTCTGAGTATTTGATCTCTTAGTTCCTCTGCCCTTGCAATGCTCTCTTCTCCACCTGTCTAAATTCTGCCTTCCTTTAAATAAAATGAGCATGCCTACCATTGTCTCTATCCATCCCCACTTGAAATGATATCTCCATCCTCTGCACTGCGAGTACACAATTTTCTGTAATGTTAGATGACAAATATTATCTGGGGTCAGTTATTCTGTTACAGTCTTGAACTCTTCATTAAAGGTCTATTTTTTGGGTACAGTGTTTACTGCTCAGGTGATGGGTGCACCAAAATCCCAGAAATCACCACTAAAGGACTAATTCATGTAACCAAACACCATCTGTTCCCCAAAAACCTATGGAAATAAAAATTCAAAGTCTATTTTTTTCATATTGTATTTTGCATTTCTCTTTGTTATATCTTGTCTATCCAACTAGTTTATAAATCCATTTAAGGTAGGGCCTGCATCCAATGTTTTCTATCCCCATATCCATCTAGAACAGCATCTTGCTCACAGCAGTTGCTCAATTCATGATTTTTAATGCAGTAAAATAATGAAATTTTGAGATAGAACCAAATATATATGAATTTCTAAGTTATGCACATGTACTTCTATCAATACGTAAAATATGAGTGAAGGTCAACTTCTTTTTAATTGTTTTATTTTTAGAGATTCAGGGGTTATGTATGCAGGTTTGTTACATGGGTGTGTTGCATAGTGGTAGGGTTTGGGCTTCCAGTGAACGCTGTACCCAATAGGTAATTTTTCAACCCTCATCTCCTCCCACCTTTCTTCCTTTTTTAGTCCCCAGAGTCTGTTATTTCCTTCTGTTATGTCCATGTGTACACAGTATTTAGCTCTCATTTATAAGTGAGAAGATGTGATATTTGTCTAGTTCTTAGTTATTTTACTTAGGATAGTGGCCTCCAGCTCTATCCATGTTGCTGTAAAAGACATGATTTCATTCTTTTTTATGGCTGTATAGCATTCCATGGTGTATATATACAATATTTTCTTTAATTATCCATTGAAAGTTTCTGAGGTTGATTCCATGACTTTGCTACTGTGACTAGTGCTGCGATAAACATACAAATGCAGGTGTCTTTTTGATATAATGATTTCTTTTCATTTGGGTAGATATTCAGCAGTGAGGTTGCTGGGTCAACTGGTCATTCTCTTTTTAGGTCTTTGATAAATCTTCATGCTGTTTCCCATAAAGGTTGTGTGAATTTACATTCCTACCATCAGCATCCCATAATTATTCCCTTTTCTTCGCATTCTTGCTAACATCTGTTGTTTTTGATGTTTTAATAATAGCCATTCTGACTAACGTAAGATGGTATCTCATTGTGGTTTGAATTTACACTTCCTGATAATTAGTGATACTGAGCATTTTTTTTTGTATATTTGTTGGTTACCTGTATATCTTCTTTTGAGAAGTGTCTGTTCATGTCCTCTGACCACATTTTAGTAGAGTTCCATTTCTTAATTGCTTTTAGATATTTAAATAAAAAGCAGTGATTTTGTTTTCTTCTTATGCCCCAATAAACTATGTGGATTCTCTCACAGCCTGTCAGCCCTTTTTCTATCTTTCTTTGTGTTCCTTAGCTGCCCCCTTTTTGGTATGTACACTTTGTTTCTGTTCCTTAAATATTAGCCTTCCAGGGGTTCAATTCTTGGCCACTGCTTTTTTCAATCTACCCTTCTCTTTCACCCATTCTAAGAAATTTTCCATCATCTGTATGGCTCCTAGATGTGTAGCTCTAGTTCTTACTTCTTGCATGAGCTCTAGATTAGTTAGATAGCAAATATTTGGAATGTATGTTTGCTGACCTTAAGTGCATATTTTTTCTGAGCTTATGACCTCTTTCCCACAACCTGCTTCTCCTTCAGTATTGTTTCTTACCTGGTCATACCATTGCTCATCTACTCAGAACAACAGACACTTAGGAATCATCCTATTCTCTCTCCTCCCTGAGACTTCTCCACATGCAATCATAAATTACTGATAATTTTACTTACAAATATTTTTGAAATAAGTTCCATTTTATATTTCTTTTTCCATTATCTTATTTGAGGTTTTCATTGTTATCTAGACTATTTCGGTCACTTTCTGCTTCCCCGCCGGCTTTTTTTTCCTGGAAGATTTCACCCTCTGTTTTCCCTTGTGGAAAATGCAGGTTGGACCATGTTTACTCCCTTGTTAAAGCCTTTCAATTTGTCCCCGTAAACTACCACATACATTTTATGTTTTTTTAGAAAAATGTAGAGGATCCTCCATGATCTATCCTTATCTCTCTTTCCATTCTTATCTCTAACCTCTTCCCATCTCACTCAGGATACTTTAATAGTGATGATGATGATAATAGTAATTGTTATTATAATGTGAAGAAGAATATGGAGAAAGATGAGAAAGAGAAGGAAAAAGATTTTTAAAAACCATAATGATAGCAAGTGCTGGATGCTCATCACCGTGCCAATTACTTAACATTTATCATTTCGTTCAAGCCTCACAATCTGTGAAGTAGGTACTATTTTTTTGTTTGTTTGTTTTATTGATGCAGAGACTATGTCTGCTTGGAAGGCAGAACTCTTTCACTGATGTTCACATAGACAGTAAGTGAGTAAGCTTATGCAATTACATAAAATCACCGTACTATCCCAGGCCTTGTTGGTTGTTTGTTTATGTTGTTGGTACTATCTTGAATACATTTTCTTCTTATCTAGCTTTAACCATCTTTTCAAGGATCAGCTCAGATTTGGTTAAAGGTCCTTCTTCAAAGCATTCAGTTTATAATAAAAACTATGATTTTAGAATTTATATTGTTTTAAAATAACTGATTTATTTCAATGCCTCCCCATTAGATTGCACTTTCTTTGAGTGCTGGAGCCATGTCTTAGTTAGCTGTTTCCACTACTTTCCCGAGTTATTGAAAGTAAGCATAGATGCAACACATTTGTAAAACAAATTTTATGAAAAGTGGGAAAACATAAGTGTAGTGGTGGAGTAATTATTGTAAGAAATCTGTAATGGAGAGTGAACATGTAAGTTTTCTGGGAAAATGAGACTACCACTTTCCTTTTAAAATTAGAATCCAAAACTTCCAAGGTTCAGCACAGGGAGTAAATACTACCTTCAGATGGGCCAAGGTGGCTGACCTATGGTCTGCCCTCTACCTGAGGTTCATCTTCTCCTTGGTGCCTTCTTACTCCCTTGGGTGCTGCCTTACATTTATTCCCTAAGGGTCATCACATGATCATTTCTGTCCGTCACACTTGGGAGCAAGATCTAGAAAGTAAGGAAACTAGGCTATCCTGAGAACATAAACTCTATGAAATCAGAAATTTTTTAAAAAATCACTAGTCTATTCCTCTGCCTATAACAGTGCTGACACTTTATAAGTTCTTCAGAAATATTTGTGGAATGAATGTTAAATTAAGCCCTCTTTTTCTTGTTTTCTTTTCCCACAGACATGTTGAGATGGTACTTCCAGAATATTTCATTAATTCTTAAAGAATGAAATAAGAAAAAAAGAGATAAAGCAGCAGGTTTATGAAATATATATTACTGCTTTAATCCCCTTTAACTTATTTCTCCACTCATAGCTAGCTTTGACCCAAAATCCTTTCCATCAGCTTTCTTATAATAGGCAACAAGTTGGTCTAAATATGGAAAACATGCCTGGCTCCATGTCTGATTTTACACATACGGCACTATCTTTCACACAATCACCTTGCAACTTCTTCCTAGACTTCTTGTCATCTCTGTCAGCAATTTCCAAAGCAGCATATTCCCACAGTGCAACTTGAATCACCACTACCTCTCAGTTCAGATTCTAGATAAGAAAATCCAATTTCTTATGACCGACATCGGGAACATCCTCACATTTGAAATCATGCTAGAGATTTCTAGTTCTAGGTAAGATGGAGTGAACACACTCCATCCTGTAACTTCCACTGAATACATGCTTAAAAAAAACTTAGAATGCATGAAGCTTCTGTTTGAAGATTCTGAAATGAAACAGCAGAAAGTGGCTGGGAGAAGAATAACAGAATTACAGTGTCACTGAACTAGCATGAGTTTACTGTTTTTTATTCTTCTAGAATAAATTCTACCATTTTTTTTTTAGTTTCTCAGCCAGTGAGAAAGTGGGCACTGGAGTGCAGATAGAATGAGTGTCAAAAGAAGCCCTCAGTTCTGGCTCAAAGAGCAAGAAAGGACGCTCATAACACAGAGAGAATGTGGGAATCTTCCATTTATTTTTCGCTTTCTTTACTCCATTCTTCTATATCCCAGGCCCCAGGGAATCCTGTGGTGAAAGTGGCAGAGACTAGTAACAGGCATCTACAGGAGGCAAAACTCTGAGAGGGGAGACTTTCTCTACATTCAGTGGTCCTATGGTGCAAGAGGGATGAACCAATTCCTTTTTTTTCTTTGACTTCCCATCACTTGGCACCAGTTGCAAACACAGCTGCAGAAGTGCACAGCAGAGCAAAGCCTCACCTTTCTAAATAGAAGACCAAAATGATGAGTCCCACGAACTGAGGATTATTGAGGAAATCGTGGAGAGAGAAAAATTTGGGAAAGTGATTCCAAAAAGTTGTTAATGAGTGACTCTGAGATCATGCATGTGAAACCACTTCCATTGATCATACTGAAAATTTTGACATCTAAACAAATACATAAACCAACCCCTATATTTCAGGCATATATGCAGGCCAGATCCAAAAATCACCACAAAAGACCTAAAAAGCGAACTGGCAGCCCACAGAAGGTGGGGTGGAACTTACAGTCTGAATCTAACCGTATCTGTCTACTCTTTTGCATATCATTTGCATTTTTTGTCACCATACCTGTCTGCTAAAAAGAAACTACGAATACAGTCTGTAATATTAAGTAGAACCTCATAAAATAATATATGTAATATACAATAGGACTCTCATAAAATAAAACTCAAAACATCCAGAGTATAATTCAAAAATATGCAGCATATAAAGAACCAGAAAAATCTCAAATCACAAGAAAAGACAATCAACATACAGCAATGCTGAAATGACACACACAGATGTTAAAATTATCTAACAAGGACTTTAGAGCAGCTATTATAAAGATGTTGCTGCAAGCAATCATGACCACTCTTGAAACCAAAAGAAAGCTTTAGGAAATGAATAGAAGATACAAAGAACCAAATGGGAATTTTAGCACCAAAAAATACAATAATCAAAATTAAGTGATTCTATACCCAATGTACAGAGATGTGAATTCATCCTTATAGGCCCACTTTTATAACCATACGTTAAGATAGTGCCATAACCATTATACACATGCAAACACACACACACAGACATACGCACACACACACACACCCCCAACACATGAAATACATGGATACAGAAAGAGAAATGAGAACGTTTTAAGTATTTCAAGTGAAAGTAATTAAGAATAAATAAAATCTACATGTTGAAGTTGTTCCCATGATTCATATCTAGCTATCTATGGTGCATATTGTTTTGTAGAATTAAGCCTGAGTATTTTATAATTTGTGGAGATTGATTATTCTGCACTTAAAAAGTAGAAGCCCATTGTTAAAAAGTACTCTATGTACATAAGCAGCAATTCTATTTACAAAGAATTGCCCTAATGTGTCTATTTGCATATCATTTGCATATTTGTCTCCATACCTGTCAATCAGCTCCAGCAATGAGCAAATCAGGTAGCCCATAGGGGAACCTGGGCCCAAAGAAAAAAAAAATCCAAGGTGATCTAAGGTGGATGAAACACTTATGCATTTATTTTTTAAGGCAATATTCTTGAAAAAAACATATGGTATAAAAACAGGTAATTTGGATGTCTTAACAAATATAGCTTTTCATCTTTGAATAATTTTATTTTTCATACACTTGAGGGATATTGTTTAATTTTAGTCCTTTTTGTATTTTCTTCAAATTATCAGGCTAGGCTAAAGTACTTCCAACTACTAAATAATACTCAGTGGCAAATTTACTCTAAATTTACTTTTTAATTTTTAATTTGCTTGGCATGTATTATTTCTGGGAATATTCTTACATATGTGAAAGCAGCAAATATTTAAAGTTTAGAAAAATTTTAAAATTCAAGATTGCTAAAAGATACTTAGAAATACCAAAGTTATAGTTATGAATTTCAACACTAGATTCATGGATTTGGTCATAAGCAAAAGGCAAACTGATATTTCAAGAACAAAACCTCCAGGATGTTGAGTAACACTCTCCCTTTCAGGTAGAATTTCTGTGGTTTTCTCCTGGTGCTTATATTTCAGCTTGCAAGATAAACCCTCTGTGAATGATGACACAAGGAAAATCCTGCTTGCTTAATAATGAAGCTTCCAGAACTGATGTTTCTTTGGGGGGTAATATCCAGTTATTGTGTCTGCAGAATCCTGGGACGGGGAAGATGCTTAGTAATCGTTATCATGATGATCACTCTGTATGGTTGCTGAAAGAGAGGGGCCTACATTAGACCTCCTACGCAGCACAGCAGTACTAGCTGGCAAAAAGTATTTTCCAATGGGTAAAATATTTGATTTAGTTTATGCATGGCGTTATGAAGCTAACTTTTGCACATGGTGCACAATGCAATTAATATTTTGACCCTAATCATGAAAAAATGGGAAGTTGGCACCAAATTCACTTTCTAAGTTAATTGTAAAGTTGGGGCCTTGGGATCCTTCTTGGAAAGTGTGGTCCCTGCCAGGCGCTTTCCTTTGCATTAAATCTGTGACTGCACTAACATTCATTAAAAGGGGGGAAATAACCCAATCAACAAGTTTGCTTAAACGGACGACCTTTCTTTGTTAAAACTTGTACACAAAAGAGATGTTGTATGGGAAGTAAGGACTAAGAAAAAAACATTGTAGCAATTTGCTGAACATGGAGACTTATTGAGGATGCAGTCCTGAATAATACACACTAGCTTTGCTCTTCCTCTTTAGTCTGTGTGGAGAAGCTATGAATCATTCATGGTCTCCCAGCTGAGAAGGGCTTCAAAGGGGATGGTTCTGATTGGATGTCCTGTGTGAATTGCCATGCTGCAGAATCTGCTACACCCCTAGCACTGGAGGGTGGAGGAAGCACTTTCATCTGGGCCTCCAAAGTGTTTAGGGTCACAGTTCACCAGGAGATAACGATGTAGATGTACATTCAGAATTAGCTGCAGAGATACCTGTGTAGTGCGGTGTGGAAAAGTGAGCCAGTTAGATCCCCAGTGGATGCTGTGAATCAATTACTGTATTCTGAATACAAGGTTGGCTGCAGGGGATAAACAGATGTCAGAGAATTTTTCCCTAATAAGACCCTGGTAATAGAAAAGCACTGTCAGCTTCATTTTGCATTAAAAATCTCATTTCCTCTTTATATGACCAATTTTATTAGGTCCCTAAACAAAGATATTTTGTGTAACTGTTAGCAGCATAATGTGAATGGTGTCACTAAATTTCATATTTTCAGGTTTAGTCACAAAAATCAAGAGGGAAAATATGAGTCTATCTAAAGTCCCAACTTGAGGAGGTCTAATCAAAAGGGCTCTATGTGAGTCTGTTCACATGCTGATTGGTAATGCTTGATTTTCATTTTAAATCAGAAATATCAAAATTCTTAAAGAATATAATCCTCAGAGTGTAAATTAAAGCTAAATTTTAAATTTCTCTGCACTTTTTCATTTTCTTTCATGGGTGACACTTCCATAAAATTGCCCTAACTAAAGCTCAAACACCATTTATCTTTTCTGGGTAATTTCTTTTTTGAAGCCTTATGCTGGGAGATACCTCTGACATGCTAAATTTCCTAACCCAAACATCAATCTTTTAAAAAAGGAAATTGACACTCGAATCCTTCCCTCTATACCCTTTGGAGGCCCAAATTGAAGTAGAAACATCATTTTGAGCTTTCTGCTAATATCCAATTAACCTCTCCCTTCATCTGCAACTCTCCTAAAAGAGAGAGAATCTCCTTCAGGCTGTCAAGTAGTATATTTTCTGCATACAGCTCCAAGTGGAGAAGGCAGAAGCAGAGAAGGTGATGTGAGTTCACTTTACAGTGTCTCCTATTGATTTGCTGAGAAAATATAATTTTAAGATTCACTAGACTCCGATCCTCCAAATGTAAAAACCTTTGTTTCAAACATCTAAAAGTGAAGACAGGTCAAGGAAGAGCTATTTCTTTATGATCAGAAGAAGACAAAAATAACGAAACTTACATGGTGAAATTATTCAAATGACATAGACAAATAAATTCATATAAGTTGGAAATTTATAATGACAAAGTTAGAGCTCCAGGGATGAAAAGACGTTAAAATTCCCAAACATGCACGCGCACACACACACACGCACGCACACACACATACACACGCACACACACACAAACACATTAATGCATACATATATGTGTTTATAAATAAAATTGTAAAGCTTAAATATGTTGACTGATCTGATGTTATTAATTTTGTTATTGTCTATTTATGTGTGACTATTATGCATTCTCTGGAGCTATACTAATTGTGTTGGCAGAACTCTACAGATCATGGGGCTAAAGTCGAAAGGAATGCTACTTTTGCAATACACAGTTGGTCAGCTCATTCCCCAAAAGAAATTTTAGTATATAACAGACTTTGACAAAGCTGCAGCAGGTGGCGCTCTTCCCCTGGCATGGGTGCTGGCTGGAGCAATTCCCTCCGGGTGGGTTCCCCTGTTGGATGTACTAAATTAGGGTGATGCGTTAGGGCAAAAAACAAACAAACAAACAAAAACCTTGAGATTGTAATTGTTCAAGAATGATGTCCTGTCAGTATCACAATCTGCATAATCCAATTCCTCTTTCCAGTATTCTTTTTTCAATTTCATTTTAATTTGGCATTCCTCATTTATTAGACTAAATTTTGGGTAACAAGTTGCTGGTACACTTGAGTACCTCCTATGTTTCTATCCAGAAGTGGATACATTTCTATCATTCCTTCAATCACTTTTGCACAGATACCATTCCAGAGGGTTTCTTTCAAACAAAATGAATGGCATTATTTATTGACCATAGGTGCATGCCAATTAATAATAGATAGATTAAGCAAGGTGAAAAGTAAATCTTCAAGACTATTGACAGATTGAGTATTAAGTAAAGCATTCCTGGAAGATGAGAATTTAAGTGGCATTAGTCCATAGGTAATAATATTTCTGTAGAGGTTTAAGTTAATTATTCATATTTATCACAATTCTAAAAAGCTGCTTTAAAAAGTGAACCCCAAATCAAAAGTATGTCCCCTTACTACAAACCCCATTATTCTGTTACTACAACACTCTCTGTTTATTGTTAAGAGATGAATATATGTACTTATCATGTTGAGGCATAAGGTTTTTATGGATAATTAATATCGTAGCTATTAAAAGAACTGATGATAAAAAATTAATAATAAATTAGCTAGCTACTTTGATTTTTATTTGAGGCCTCCTCATCTATTTTTTTATGTAAAGCACAGGTTGCCTTGCCATCTTGAAGAAAACCCCGAAGAATATGGAAAACAAGTTTTCTTATTCAATTTCCAAAGTAGAAAATAGGAAAACTAGTCACTGAGACAGAATGAACTTCGATACAAATATTAAAGTAGGAGTTCACAAGGGCAAAGTAGCAATTTTTCAGTTTGGAGACTGAAGGTCTATGAAAGAGTGTGCCTACAAACAAGAGCTCTGATTTGACTTTGTTTGCTTTCTCCATGTCTGGGAAATAACTCTAATATAAATGGAATTTCTTGATTGTCCACGAATAGCATTAACAAAATTAATGTTTGATTTACTACTATTTATAGGTCACTAAAATCTCAATTGCACGTTAGATGAGGAAAGTTCAGATTTTATTTATTTGTCCTAGATAAGGGCCTACTAATTTTCCTCATTATTTCTTCCCACAAAACAGACATTTCCTATGGTAACATTTTTTGACTAGAAAATTTGAATATTTTCATGGATAGTTAAATTCAAGGTGTTGAAAGTGTGGTAGGTTCTCTTAAGTGGTTTGAAAATAAAAGATGACATAGATGAACATACGTGATATTGAAATATACAGCCTAACCAAAGTTTTAAAAAATCTTTCAATCACTTATCTTGATGTGTTCGTCAGGCAGAGAGATCATGATCTGCATAGTACCTATTAAATAGAAAGGACCACGAGGTTTAAGTGTCCCAGAGCAGAGAGATCATGCCTCATTAATTCAGTGTAGCAACATCTTTAGCACACAGTTCATGCTTAATAAACAAATAAAGAATTGAGTCAAAACCACTTACATGAGGAATGGAGTTTATTTCTTAATGGTATTGATACATAACAGTTGTACACTTAGGAGGGATACAGGTGATATTTTGATACATGAAGACAATATGTATTGATGAAATCAAAAATAGAGATATCTATCACCTCAAAAATGTATCTTTTCTTTGTGTTGAGAACGTTACAATTCTTCTAGCTATTTTTAAATAAGATTCTTTAATTCTAATTAGATAGCAGTGTATGGTGAGCATTTAACAGTTTTGGGGGGAATGTTGTAAAAAGTCAAAGTTTTAATATTTTAGTCTAAAATAGGGAGAACGATAATTAAACAAATGAATGTTTTAATGATTTAAAGTTTGAAGAAAGATAATTAAATAAGTAAATGTGGTATGATGGTTAAGTGCCACCTAATCTGGTTATTGGTGTCAAGTATGGCCTCTCCGGGGTGATGGCATCTAATCTGAGCCTAGATCTGAGGATCTTGTAGAAGTCAGTGGATAACATGAGGGTTCATGGTGCAGGACAGTGATGGATGATCAGGCAGAAGGAAGAATATGTACCAGGAAGCACATAATTCAATGACTTGTCATTAAGTAAGGCCACTGGACAAAATTAAAAATGTCAGCTGATATTTTTCATAAATCTGAAGGTAATTATGAAGACACAGATGGGGAGAGAAAGAGCTTCTGAATTAAAACTATGATTGGATAAATAGAAATGATACAGAAATGGTCCATAATTTTACAGGAAGTTTGTTTTATATGTACTTTCAGTTATTCAGACATGATAATAGCCAGAAAACAAAAACAATTTGCCAGAATCAAATTATGGTATTTAAAAGGACACAACAAATGATAGTTTTATAGCATTAAATATCAATAAACAATAAACAATCTTCTCTAAAATGTGGAAGATAAAAAGTGCTACCACAACAACATGAAAATCATTGAAGATCAAATTATAGGTTTATAATGTTATGGTGGTATCCAATTTTCTTTATGGTCTTAACTTGTTCATGAATACCCAAGGAAATGTAAGTCATCTATTACGAATAGGAAGAAAAGCATTCTCTTGCTCCTCTGTTTTTCTTGTGTTCAAAGAGACAGCTAAGATGTCAAATTCATATAATTTGTATAATTCTTCTTTTATCATTATTGTAAATTTGGTAATAGAAAATAAACACAGAGATAATCCATACATTTTAAGGTTATTTGGCTGACAGTGGGGTCTCACACAATCTCTAGTGGGGGAATGATACAGTCACACATCTGTCATCTCAACATTGGCCCTCAGTTGCCCACTAACATGGATTTAGCTGTTCCTCAGTAGAGTTTTGTCAAAGGAAAGCTACAATCAACACTACTTAAATAAGAGGCCTACTGAAAGAATCTGGTGAGACTGTTAAAAGAGTAATATGACACAATTTTATATTGTTTGATTCTGTTCTATTTGTGGTATTAAGGAAATGGATGTCAATTTACTGTTCATTGGCAGGACCAGCTACATAATTTTGGGGGCTCAGGGCAAAATGTAAATCAAAGGTTGCTTATTCAAACATTCCTAAGACTCAAGACTGTAATAGCAGGGCAATAAGCCAAGAGTGGGGTTATATACGGCTGCATAGGCTTGTATGTGCAGGAAGCCTACCCTGATTCCTGGTATGGTACATCGGTACAAACCATACTTGGTTAATGATAATGAGATGTTGGCATAAACATTCACTCTGAGAAGGAAGCCCCTGAGAAGTCTACCCCTGAAAGAGCAGCATGCCACTGTTGGGACTTCCCCATTAGACTAAGAGGTCATCCATCAGTTTCTCTGTACTATAAGGAAGAAGATGGAGGCAAAGGTGAGTAGAGAGCACAAGATTAGGCAGCAGGTATCAAAGTAGGGTTTGTTTCTTTACATTAAAAGATAACTAGTAAACTGAATGAATATCAAGCAAAGAAAAATTCTGCCTTCAATATAATACGCTGATTTTTATAAAAAAGTATACTTTTGATTTTCCAAACATCCCTCTGCACACAACTCCATGTGTTAGAAGAGAATTATCAGCCATGAGTATAAAGTATACAATAAGAACAATTCCCAGTTGTCTGATTGCAAGCAAAAGATTTATTTGAAAAGAAGAATTGTCATTTCAACTTCATAAGCAATTTGGTTTCTCTATGTGCTTATTGATAGGTGCTATTTTCACAATTCAGCACTAATTATTAACTTGTATTTTCAGGAGGGTATGCATATAATTTTCACTATTCCCAAGGGATATTTGTAAATAACACTTTAGAGCAGAGGCTGAAAATGTGTTTAGCTCTCACTTCTAGTTGCATATTACCTCCCATTATAATCCTGTTGAGAAGTCATAAGTGTTAGCTGGTATTATACCTCCACACTCAAGGTACCCATATTTCAGAAAGAATAGAGGAGTTTTCTGTTAGAGGAGCATGGAATGAGAAGTTGGTCCCTGGATACTTTTTCATTTTAGTGGCATGCCATTAGCATCTTGAATATTTCAATGTATGCACAAGAAAGTTCATAAGGGGATAAAATAACAATAATAATGTCAGATTTACATAGAGTCTTATACTAAAAACTCTTAAACTGCTTCCAAAGCAGGATCAGATCAGATACTTATCTGAGCTCCTTTTCATTTTCTTTTTTTATTTTTGAAAAAATAGAAATACAAAATACTGGTAATTTACAGTTATATTGCTTTCTTTTGCACCGCAAGAATTCATTTTATTACTTAAGTGTAATTTTTCTAAAAAGAGATGAAAACATGCTTTTTTTTCTATTTGATCATCAGTAACTAGAACATTGTTTATTTGGAGTTTTTCTCTGTGTATAATTTAAGTTAATACTATAATTTTAAAATGCTGAATGTAGAATTTTTAATGTTCCTAACACTATTTTGAAACCAATAAAATTAATCTTTGCTATTGAATTAAATTCAGTAAACAATTATTGGAACTCATTATGACTAAAGTATATACCAGGTGTCTAAGGAATGCTAAAGTGAGCAAGGCGTGGTGACTGGCCTTCAAGACATTCATGATCCACCAGTATCATGGGGGTCATCCACAAGCCAGCTGTGGTAAGCCCTCCTGGAGAATTATAAGCACGATGTGATGAGAGAACAAACCAGGAAATTATGTCCTGGAAAAGGTAACATATAAGCCTTAAAGAATGATTAAGAATTAAAATGTTCTGCATGGCAGATAAAGAGATGAGCCTAAGAAAGTATGAAGGAAAGAGAATACCAATGAATTGGGAAATAATGATCAAGTTTATTGGTTTCAAGGGTCTTTTAAGAGGGTAGAAGGACAAATATGTCTATCTCCATAATAAGCTTCTGTAATTCATTCTTTATATAATGTGGAATTTTATGAAATGGGGAGTGGCATTATGTCAGACTTGTGCAAGATGGACCAGAAGAGATAAACCACATTCAGATTGTGAAAGAATCTTTCCTAGTTTTATCACTGTCTATGCTTAAATATCCTGAAATCTTTTATCCTTTAGAGAAAGCAGGTAATGGTGGTGGTGATGGTGGTAGTAGTGAGAAACTTATAACTAAAACCATATTCAGGAAGTTATAAGCAGGTTTTGTCAAATAGACATGCTTCTGTGAAAAGATAAGAATGATGTAGTTCAGTTGTTTGCTAATAGCAATTTTAAAATGGGTTAAAAAACCTACCTTCTTCAGAAAAATAACAACTTCTGTGTTTGCTTTACTACTTTTAGATAGAGGAACATTTCAGTCTAAACATTGCAGTATAAAATTAATTTTAAATAAGTGAATTATAAATTAATAGTTTAAAAAAATTTGCAGACTATTTTGATATATTTGTGAGTGACTGAGGGACATCAATGAATGCTCTCTTGACCTGCAGTGATAGTATTACTCCAGAAATGAAATAAAAACTTTTCTCAAGCATGAGAACAAAGGACATCATTCATAACTCACAGATTAGTTTACGTATAAAAAATATTCTATCTACATCATTGAAGCAAGTAATTGTTAAAGAAATCCTTTTCCATGGATTATGAAATCTTTCAATACAGCTAAATTGTGCAAGCTCCATGATTACTAATTTCAAGTTTGAATTTCTGCTTCTGACCTGTTTTTTTATTTTGTTCTTCAAATCTTATTCCTTGAGGCTTGCCCCACCCTCTGTGGTTTTATATCTTTTCTCCTGAGTATATACATAACCTATTTGTTTGGTTACTCAGACTGAAGCTTCAGACCAAGGAATTGGAAGTTGCTGCCTCTTGACAGCTTGTGCTTTATTCTTCTATCATAAAAAGGATCCTAAGTAAAGAACACCAGCAGTGACTTGTGTAGCTTCTGGGCATTTTTTTGTTCTTGTGATCTAAAGTCCACTTATTGTGTTTTCTGTTATTTGGAGGTCATCAAACTTTGATCACTAGAGGGGAGTGTGGGGTTTTGCCTTGATCTTGGAGATCACACTACAGGCTGATTTTTAAAAACACATATGAAGGGTTTATTGTAAAATAAAGCCATGATTCATTAGTGTCAATGTAAATGTTTAAGAATTGTGTAATTCAAAACAGCACTGATTAGAATTAATTTATAAATGGAGATGGAAACATGGCTAGTGATACCCAAAATCCTCAAATTCATTTGGATATGCCGTAAAATCTGATGTTGCTCTCCTTTTCTACATCCATGTGGCCAGATGTGTACACACCTACCGTTGGGTTATCACATATTAATATGGAATGGAGGTGGTCAGAAGGGTCTCCATGCCATGTGCCTATTTTGTCTACTGGTTACTGCATGCTATAATCATATGGAAAAGATTAAATTTCCTTATCTTTGAATGATAGTACAATTGCTTTTGAAAATGTAAATGAGTGTGCCCCCCAATAAATGGAAGCAACAAGTTCTTTTATTTATTAAGTCATTTATCACCAGAAAAAATTTATAGATCATGAAGGAACCTGGGCCTTAATGACCTTCATCCTTGCCCAAGGTCACTGAGCTAGACAAAAGACATGTTTCTCTAACATTCACCTCCTAAGACCAGTTCAGTGCTTCCTTCCATGCCAATATGTATTATGATACATTTTTTACAAATTCACAAACCAAATAATATTTTAGCAGAGATGGATTTTTTGTTGTCTAAATTATTAATTTTAATTATACAGATAGAATTAACAAATGGTTCCCAAATTTATCTTGATTCCATTGTATTGATAGATTTTCTACTTTGAGGGAGCATTTCATGACAGTAAAGAAGAATTAAGATCATTTGAAACCCAGTGAGAATTAGAGGATATATGAAAGTATAGATTTTTTTCTTGTCTTTTGAAATGAGTGGTTTTAGGCTTACCTCTTCCCGAGTATCTCCAAAATGTTCCTTTTATTATTATTCTGTTTTCTATACTCAAATAGAAAACAATCTAAACAAAGTACTGAAGAATAATCAGACACCTTCTAAGTAGAAAGCAAACCTAAGTAATTCAAATTAAGAAATATGTTTAAATGTCTCAGATTTGCCTGTCACCTCCAGAGAATGGGTTTCCTTCCTCCTGGCTGGGAGGACTACCCATGACATGAATTCTCTCAAATATTTATTTAATCACTCATAAACAAATTAAATGGTGGCTATATATATAGAAAGTGTTGCATCAAATTCAGGTAGTGAGCAAAGACAGAATATAAAACATATAATCCCTGGCCTGAAAGAATTACCTGTATTATTAGGAAAATATACACAACTTAAAAAATAATTTTGAAAAATACGATTAAAATTAAAGATGTCATAAATATCATATTTGCTAGAAGAAGTCAGAAAGTGGATGGATATTGAAAGATGGTTAGAATTTGGTAAGTGGAGAAACGAAAAGAAGGCTTTTAAGCTAAGTATAGATAGAAAGACTTGGCGCCAGCAATATGTGACCCAGGTTTGGAGAATAATGAGTTGGTCAATTTGGTTCCAATGGAGAGTGTGTAAGGAAGTAGCTGAAGTTAATTTTGAAGCAACACTAAAAGACCTTGAATGCCACAAGGAACTATGCATTTGATTCCTACAGACAAGCATCTTTCAAACGGTTCCTTTGTATGACAATCCTTGTTAGGAATAAAGATCTGTGGTTGAATAATTGGAAAAGTCCTGTCAACCCTGACCCGTTTGGAGATTTCCATGAACATCTGAACATGTTAAAGGTTCTGAGATCTATTCTTAAAAATGCCATCTGATCATGTTTAACTTACCATTTTCTCATTACTTTTAATTTCAAAACCCCTTGCTTTGCCTATCATTTGTGGCATCATATGTTCTAATGTGGAATATTTCTCAGAAAAAAATTTGGGTTTTTCTGCAGAAGAGAACAATAAAATCTTTAAATTGGAAAATAGTACAATGGAATTTCTCTTTTAGAGAGGTACATGTGAAAGTCATATAAATTCAAATAACTTCTGTCCAATTAAGCAGGAACTGGGATATACAGTCTGTCCAATTTTGTGCTTAATGGGTTGTTCACGGTGGTGTTTACCATTTCAACAATTGGATTACTAGATTTTATTGTTTTCAGGCACTATCAAATATAATAAATCATTGTAATGTTCAACAAGTTTGACAAGATTCTCCCACTAGAATTTGTAAAGTGATGAGTCGCTTCAAATATTAACACGCTTAATAAATATTGAATGACCTCCTATAGTAAAAAGAAAACTTATTTACAAAGCAAAGGAAAATGAGCAACACACAAATGTGATAATCATAGCTTCTAATTGATGAAGGTGAAATGGAGCAAATAGGAGTCTTTAGGCTCTATGCAATGATAATTAAAGTCAGTTAAACCTTTTTGTGGTATGTTTATTATTGTCATTGTCTTGAATGAGATGTTTACTCATGTTTGGTAATTATGCCTAAGTTGGGTTTTAAGAGAGAATCTTCACATTCTAACCCGATGCTGTAGAAGAATGAGAACATTTTTCTAGGAAAGGTATTTTCTAAGCCAGGCTCACCTTGATATTTAGCTCTGCTTGGGATTTTAGCTTTTTCAATCTACGTCAGATTGAAAGGCATTAAGATTTCCTCTCCCGAAAGTTTCTAAACCCACAAACATCACTTAGTCATTTGGCAATGTCAATGTAATGCTAGAGTAATAACCCTGCCATAAAAAGCAGGGTTTCTGAAATCTATCACAGAAATAACAAGCGTGAGTAGACATTAAAAATAAAAGCTTCTTCATAGCAACAACTCAAGGGGTGGTAAGAATTAAGAGAATAACATAACAGGAGCTTATTTCTAAACTGCTATACCTTCTGAAAATACTTGGATTTATTCATTCTTCAGTAAAAGTTCATTTATGTATCTATTTAAAGTGAAAAATAAAAATCGTACATATTTATGGTGTACAACATTATGTTGTGACATATGTATACATTGTCTAATGGCTAAACCAAGCTAAAGTTTTGCAGATAGGAACTATCAAAGCTATCATAACTATCTTGTGTGCAATGAGGAAGAGGAAAAGAAATGTGTACTTATACATACATGGAGACACACACAGACCAGCAAAGGGTTTTTGAAAAAGGCTTCTAAGTGTTCTATTAACCACAAGATCAATTCCTCCATAGGAAGAAGGGAGGAGAGGAAAAGGCAAGGCTTTCATCTGAGAGTGAGGAAGACCTTGAGAAATTAGTGCATTAATATCAAAGTGAATGAAATTTTGATATAACAAAATATTTCCAAATCAGTAGACAATTCATCTAGATCCATAAGGGTTCCAGAGAAACAGAACCAATTGCATATATAAGTAAAGAAATTCATTGCAAGGAATTGGTTCACACACTTGTGGGGCTGGCTGGGCAAGCTTGAAATCTGTAGGGCAGGCCATTCGGACAGGCAGACTGGAAACTCTCAGGCAGGAGCTGAAAACTCAATCCACTTCCTAAGTCTTTTTAGCTAATTGAATCAGGCTCACCCAAATTTTTCAGAATAATCCCTTTTAGAGAAAGTCAACTTTAATTTTAGACGCTAATCACACCTGCAAAATACCTTCAGAGCAACACCTAGATTAGGGTTTGATTGAATAACTGGCTACTACAGCCTCGCCAAATTGACAAATCATATTGACCATTACAGCACTCTTCTCTCAAGTACTAAAGGTTAAATTAATTAAGCCGTGGTCCATTTGGCCTGGTCTATGTATGTATTTGGCTATAGATTTCTAGAAGTCAGTGATATATGTGTAGTAATATATGTTAAGGATGTAAGAACTCCCATTCGATCTGTTAAAATCATTTTGTTAAATCTGTTAAAATTATTACTAAACATTGTTACAAGCACTTTAGTACATACTGGAGTCTTTCTAGTGAGCAAAGCAGACGTGATCACTGAAATGATAGTGGAACATAGAGACAGTTTATATCAATGTTTTCAATTAGTGTTTTCCCAATTACTAATTATAAATCATCAAGGAAAAAAAAGTATTCGGCTTTGTACAAGCAAGCTAGATTGAGTATTAAGCATTCATTCATTCAAAGAACCCATATTAAATCTTTATTTTTTTCAAATATCATGTTTTTAAAAACTAAATTTAATTGCATATATTTAAGGTGTATAACATGTTATGCAATATGTATAGATATTTCAAAGGTTACTATCGTAAAGTAAATTAACATATCCATTTTCTCACATACTCATTTTTTGTTTTTGTGGCAAGAGTAGCTAAAATCTACTAATTTAGCAGGAATCCTGAATACAGTACAATTTTGTTACCTACAGACTTCGTGTTGTGTATTGGATTTCTAGACGTGTTCATCCTGTATATCTGGTACTTTGCATCCTCTCACCTACATCTGCCAATTTGCTTCCCACTCCCCACCTTGCTCTTGATAGCCACTGATTTATTGTATGCCCATGTATGTATACATATTTTGTTTGTACAGTAGTTTTTCCTTCTTCCCAGTTTTGTTTCTAATATTTTAATTACCTATTGTTAATTATAATATAATAAAACATTGCAAGAGAGAGACCACACTCATATAACTTTTATTGCAATATATTTTTATAATTGTTTGATTTCATTAGTAGTTACTGTTGTTAATCTCTTACTGTATCTAATTTACAAATTAAACTTTATCATAGGTATGTATGCGTAGAAACATAGTATGTATAAGGTTCTGAACTATCTGTGGCTTCAGGCATCCACTGGGGGTCTTCAAATGCATCCCCCAAGGTAAAGAAAGATGGTGACTAGTATACATTTGAATTGTTTTTGAGATTACTACTTGATACCGAGCCTTTACAGGTTTGGGGGTATCAAAATGAATGATAAGGTACTCATGGGGGCTAGAAGTTTGGAAGGGTCTGCCAGAGATGGGCTCAGAACGGCTCACTCTATTGGTGATGCCTAGGAAGAATTGACCCAGAAAGTGAGGTCTGAGCTATGTTTTTAGAGAGACCTTTGCCAAATGGAGAATAGTGATCCAGGCTTAAATGGGAGGATCCTATACCTTACAACAATGAACCCTGGGAAAGGTACATCTGAAAAAGAGACCAGTAAATTGTTATCTGGCCTCTATTTCTTGCCGTATCTCCTTTATCAAAGAGAATAATAAGTGGATGGAAAAATACTGATATAAGGAATAAAACCTACAATCGTTGGAAAGATTGCACTTGATTCTTAGTCTCTTAGACCTGCAAGATGATAAGAGAGCATGGTCTTCCATTATTGAGATCTCCTGTTGGATCCTTCTGCAGGCAAATCTGCATGTCTGGAGAGATGATGAGGTTAATCAGAAAGGGAAATAGAAAAAAGGAGAAAACATGGAGGAAATGATATCTTCTGACTAGGCTCAGGAGAACATAAGCTCCAATGGAGTGCTCTGTTTTGGGGGATAGTGTTGTCAGCGTGCTCCAGCTATTTCATTTCTATTATGTTGTGTGAAACTCACATATTACTGATAAAAAGACTGAGACTCAGTGAGTTTGAGTGATTTGCCCAAGGTCACATGTCAGAGAGCTTGCGATTGTAGGTAAGTTGGTTCACAGCTGGGGCTTCAGTCTTGTTTTCATTATGCCTTTAAGTCAATTATCAGTACAAGGTGTGAAATGAAGCTATATGTTAGCAGTTCTTCTGGCAATAGATAATAGCTGTTTCTCATCATCAAATCCAATAAATGTCCTGCACTAAAATACAGAGTTAGACTTAATAATTGCTTGAAAAGAGACTTGTTCTTAGTTAACTATTTTGCTAAAGAATAAAACTCTTCTCAGCTCTCCATTTTAATGAGATTTCTAGATTTTTTTAAATAGAAAATTTATTGATCTTTCCCTCATTTTACAAAATGTGATATAAATTCATTACTAAATCTGCCTTAAATTTTATTTAAAATAAACATTTTTTTCTACTTTATGGACTTTTTGATTTTATAATTGTATTTATAGCTAAATTAATAATTCCTCATGTCTATAATTCAGCTAATTTGTGTACCTTTCTGTGATTCATTATTTAGTTGACATGCATTAGTAATATGAATATATTTTTATTGATGTAGACATAATTTTCCATCAGTGGATTTATAATAAATGTATGTTTTCAGTTCTTTCTGTGTAGCTGTTCTCTCATACCCATTTCTCAGTTGCTATTGGTGGTGAAAAATAAGTATTAGTTTTCTTTTTTTTCTGAATTAAAAAGATGTCAATATTAAAAGGAAACTATTGCAATTGTGGGAAAGAGCAACCAGTTCTTCATGTTTTTTGTGTTGCTCTCATGGAGTTTTACATCCTCTTCACTCATTCCTTTGTCTTTTGTTAAGAGTAATGTATTCTGTGTCAGTTGCATTTTCAGGCTTCTCCAATGCACAGACTGCCAAAATTACAAGATTATGTACAATAGGTTTATGTTGTGGATGTCTGTCCACCAGGGACGTAACAAGCTGAAATTGTCAACTTGGACTTCAACCAATGGCCTAGAGCTAAAAAGTGAGTGAAATTTCAACTGTGCTGCAGAACACTTACAAGTGTGTCTTCATTAAATCAATGATGTTCTCCAAAAGAGAATTACTTCCAGTCAAAAATACAATTTTGCTCTATTATCAGATGGTATAAAAAAAATTCAATAAATAAAGTTTCAGCCAAATGCTAAAAGGCAGATTGTACCTTGGCACCCCTTTCACTTAGAGATGATCTTCATAAGAAGTGGCACGTCATGTGACGTCATGTCAGCATAGTCTCTGAAGGACTATAATCCCTAAATGATAATTAGTTGGATGGAAGCTTCAAAAGTACAACATCTGGTGGATTACCATCATCCCTTTTATTCTTGGGAACTCTTTTGATCTGTTTGGATCTAGAAAGAAAAAATAATTATTTCTTGACTGTACTTGGTGCTTAAAATGCTACGAAGACAGTGTTGAGAGCTTTATTCATTTATTCATTGTGATTTTGTTACGGCTTCTTGATATGATATTGTGCTTAAAAACTGTATCTATTAACTTTCAAAGAAGTAGAAAATACATAGCATATTCTAGTCTGTTAGGTGAACAAATACTTTTCATAGTCATTCTATAATTTACTGTTTGAACACAGAGGCACAAACTAAGTGAATTCTGGGGGCAATTTAGAAGAAAATAGCCTCCTTTCAGAGCAAAATACTCCTAAGGAAGCTTACTAAGACTTCAAGTGTATTCACTTTATCAAAATGGATTTCTGAACAATATGAAATGCAAGAATGTTGGTTGGGAATATTTGGGGTCATTTAAAAATTAAAGTACACACATCTAGACATGAATGAAACTCTGAAATCTGGAAATGAAATATAAGTCAGTTCAGTTGACCCAACATGCTGGAGATATCCTCTAAGGCTAGAATTTTCAGTTTAAGCATAAAGCTACTGAATAAAAAGCAATTTCTGAATTTACTTTTTTTTTTTTTTTTTTTTTGCTGGAGTGTAGTGGCGTGATCTTGGCTCACTGCAACCTCTTCCTTCCAGTTTCAAGTGGTTCTCCTGCCTCAGCCTCCTGAGTAGCTGGAATTACAGGTGCCCGCCACCACTCCCGGCTAATTTTTTACATATTTGTATATGTATTTTTTTACATATGTATTTATATATGTATTTTTTTACATATATATACACATATAGACATATATATACACACATATATACATATATACAGGGTCAATAAATACCAATGAGTGTATAAAAGTATTAGACATGGCAGTAGAGATATATATATAGTATACGTATATGTAGAGAGATATATATAGTATATATGTAGAGATATATATAGTATATATGTAGATATATATAGTATATATATGTAGATATATATAGTATATATGTAGATATATATAGTATATATATGTAGATATATATATAGTATATATGTATATATAGTAGATATATAGTATATATGTAGATATATATATAGTATATATATGTAGATATACATATATCTATTGCCATGTCTAATATTTTTACACACTCATTAGTATTTATTGACCCTGTCCTGCTTATTATTATCAAACCCACCTCTCCTTTTCTCTTTTCCTACCTAGATATACTCAGTTTTGTCAGATATACATGTACTTTACATTTTTAAGATGAATAACATTTAAATTCCATCTTGTAATCATAATTCTGTGCCTGGTCTATAGCTCATTCTAAAAGATGAAAGTAAATTAAAGGCATTTACATTATCAGGATTATATTAAATTGCATTCATTACAAAGCCAATTGGTGATAGAGGATTTCTCTACAAATTCACCATCAGATTCCCTGGCCCACTCTAAGGTGAAGAATACTATCAACAAGGTTAAATGGATTTCCTTACACACCATAAATTGCTCAATATTGTGTCATATTTTGGGTTATTTCTGATATCTACTATGACATTTCCTAGACATTTTCTCTACTTGTAGTTTCTAGATGCCTCTCAGTTTTTTCTAAGAAAAAAATCATAATTTCTCATCCTATTACTAAAATCTTTCAGTTGTTATTTATTTTATTTTGTAAGAAATACATTCAATTTCTTTAGCATTTTCTTGGAAATCACTGTCAACGTATCCATGCGGACTGCTGATGGCTATCCAAGCTTGATGCATAGCTATCATCGTGGAATTTCATCTTTCTATTTGCTGAGTTAATTCTACTATTGACCAAATCTTATTTGTCCTTCTTATATCTTTATCCTGGACTACCCATCAAGTGAATATTTCAGAAAGGATAATTGGAAGGTATATATCTTAAGTCTGTATATATCTAAAAATACTTTGTTTGTCTTTCACACACTAATATTCTAAGTATAAAATTGGTATTGATTTGTGATCATGACAAATTATCAAACATAGTGGCCTAAAGCAACTCAAATTTATTATCTTACAGTTCTATAGATAAGAAGTACAAAACAAGTTTTAGGCTAAAATCAAGGTATCAGCAGGTGTCAGAAGCTCTATGGATAATCATAGAAGCTCAGTAGGACTATGTC